>NC_000007.14:87961324-88264354 GCF_000001405.40 Homo sapiens | reverse complement strand
GACTCAGCAAAGTCAAAAGATGAATGATAAACTGAGAAAATATATTTGCAATTAAATGGCTAATATTCTTAATATATCAAGATTTCTTACAAATTGAGAAAAAACTAAAATCTGATAGAAAAGTGGCAAAATATATAAGCAGACATTTCAAAGAAGAAATGGCACTAAATGCATGAAATAATGCTCAACCTCACTCTTACTAAGGGAAATGCAAGTAAAAAGTGCAACAAGTTACAATTTCTCATTTATTAGATTGGCAAACATCCAAAAGTCTGACAACATACTCTATCAGCAAGGTTTTAGAAGACAGCTGATGGGAATACAAAGTGGTACAACTGTTAGGCAAAGAAATTTGATAATGTCTAGGGAAAAAAATGTGCAAGCAATCTGTATAGCAATCTCACTTCTAGGAATCTACTCCAAAGTATTCTGGTTAAAAGTACAAAATGATTTACACAAAATACATTTTTTTCCAATGGCAAGATGCAGAGCAGTATACATAGCATGATACCACTTAGATAAGAAAAGTGATTATTAATATATACATGAATGTGTTTTATTTGTAAAAAGAAAAACTAATAAAAAATGGATTACTAGATCAGTGGTTCTCAAACTTTAGTGTACATAAAAATTATCTTTAGGGCCTGATTCTCAATGCTTCTGACCTAGAAGAAAATCAAGAACCTGAGAATTTATATTTTTAACAAGTTTTCAGGTGATCCTGAAGCAACTGTTTTGGAGATCACACTTTGCTAAACTAAAAACAAATGAAAACAGTTGAACCTATTAATATATCAAATTAATTATATACAGATAATAGATTTGTTTTAAATGACTTTTGAGTATTTCGAGTGTACATCTTAAGTAGAAAGAGTTCCCATTGTAAACAGAGCTTAAGATGAATCTTAAACTTAATTGAGAAACTACTACTAATATTGATATTATTAATTTGAAACTAGTTTGTATGCAAATACATACACACATTTGTGCATGAAGATAAATCAAATAAGTTATATTGTCAATGTTGTTAAGAACCAAAATTGTCAGTATAAGAGAAAAGAGTTTCAAGTTCAGTTAAATGAAAATTCTATAATGTCAAATTTGGATCGGAAATATCAGTATTGTTTCAAGATTTTGCTTTTCTTTCAACATTATGTTCCTTAGCACTATAATTGCAAAAATATGGAGGACAATGACCACCCAAAAACAAGATTGTTCCTATTGCCCACATTTTGCTCTCTGATTAGGATTTCCCACAAAAAGCAACCAGAGTTCTATGGCAGAATTCTGATTCCAGATTCGGGGCAGAAAATACATGAAATGGGTCTGTGACGAATTGTTGTGCCAGAAAGCAAGGAGGGTAATTAACGACTAATGGGAGGCAGAGTATGGTGGCTCACGCCTGTAATTTTAATGCTTTGGGAGGCTGGGGCAGGAGGATTGCTTGAGGCCAGAAGTTCGAAACCAGACTGAGCAACGTAGTGAAACCATGTCTCTACAAAAATTAAAATAGTCATGCATGGTGGCATGTGCCTATAGTCGTAGCTGTTCAGCTGGCTGAGGTGGGAGGATTGCTTGAGCTCAAGAGTTCAAGGTTACAGTGAGCTATGATTACACCAATGCACTCCAGCCTGGGCAACAGCACAAGACTCCATTCTTAAAAAAATAAAATGAAAAACTAACAGGACATGTCCAAAGGCCACAGGAGCAAATAAATATGCAGGAGGAATCCATTGGCCAAATATAAGAATAATGAAAAGAATAATGGCTGCAATTATTTTGTTTTAATCCATTAGTTCATTTCATCACTAAAAAGCAAAACACACACACACAAATTTAGTTGGTCACTATTATAAGTATTTAAACATTTCCTTACTTTAGACATTGGCAGTAGAAAGAAAAGAATTAAGCATTCATCCGGCATTTTCTGTACTGCAGAGTGACTAAATAGTCCTAGTTGACAGTGAAAAGTTCTCTACAGAAAAATTCCAGTTAATAAAAGTGAAAAGAAAGTGAAAATTAGAAAATTGTCACTTTGCATTTCGTAACAAAATGATACAGGCAGCTTTTATCAGTAGATGAAATTACTACATGAAAAGCTGTTAGGAAATTGTATCCTGTTAGCATCACAAAAGTAGAATGACTGGACAGTAACACTATGTACATTTAATGAAGCACACAGCACCACAAGTGTGTGTCAATAAAGTTGAACCTGAATCTCATCTAACCTTGAATGCTAACTCCAATTATCAGGGATAATTGGGGATATAAGGGATAGAGTAACAAGTTAAATGTAACCAAGAGGAAACATATAGATTGATCCAGAGTTTGTGACATTCTACAGAATAAGTAACCCAATTTTTTTCAATAAGTCAACAACATTGATATAGAAGAGCCCTAGATTAAAAGAGATTTAACAAAATGCAGTATATGGACCTTGTGTGAGTTCCTTAATTGAACAAACCAAAAGTAAAAAGTTATTTTTGAGACATTCAAGAAAGTGTAAGCATTGAATGTATTAGATTATAGCAAGGAATTGTTCATTTTATTAGGGGTGATGATAGTTTCATAATTTTTTTTTTTTCTTTTTTGAGATGGAGTCTTGCTCTGTCGCCCAGGCTAGAGTGCAGTGGTGCAATCTCAGCTCACTGCAAACTCTGCCTCCCGGGTTCATGCCATTCTCCGGCCTCAGCCTCCCAAGTAGGTGGAACTACAGGCACCCGCCACCACGCCCCGCTTATTTTTTGTATTTTTAGTAGAGACTGGGTTTCACCATGCTAGCCAGGATGGTCTCAATCTCCTGACCTCATGATCTGCCCACCTCAGCCTCCCAAAGTGCTGGGATAGTTTCACAATTTTTTGAGTCTACTTTTTAGCTTACTGAAATATGTCACAGGAGAATAATACAATATTTTGGATTTAAAATATTTCAGCAAAAAATGAAGAAGAAAGGAACAGAGGAGATAACAAGTGAGATAAAATGATGATTATTGAATCTGTCATATGAGCATTTATTATACTATCCTTTCTATTTTATGTATATTTAAAATTCAAAACATATTTAAAAGGTAGAAGTTGGCTCAAAGAAAAACTCTGTCAAATCTTTTTAAAAGCATTTCATGTTACTTTTCAAGAAATAGAATGGAAGATTCCAGATTACTGGTAGTTATATTTTTCAATAATTTGAGACTTTAATCTAAACCCCAGAGTAATAGAAAGTGTCCTAGAATACAAATCCAGTAGGAAACCTGGGGCCAGGCCAGGTTTTGGACAAAACCTTTTGAATTTGGGCAAATCATTTAATCTTTTCAGATCTCATCATCTGTAAATTAGGGACTTAGTCCAGATGACTTTATGTCTTATCTTCACCTCTAATCACTAGAAAGTAATATGAATGCACTTTTGCTGGTAAGCAAAGGGCACAGAATTGAGTAACAACAACAAAAAAAGCATGAAAGAGCAGCTTAATCGGAATAACTTCCTTGAGGTTACTCACATATGTGAAATATGTGGATTAGATTAACTTATCTTTAAGATGTTCCCTATCCCTAAAATTCTATGAAATGTAATAGCTGTAGTCATGGGCCAGACAAATAATTGTTTTACATCAAATTCTAATTGCTGATGTTATCTCTCAGTTTCAGTAAGGCTATTGTATCTGTACTCTAGAAAGACAAAATACTTATTAAACAATAAGATAGAAAAACATAGGTAGACCAGGTGTTCTCCAACCTTCTTATCCCTGGATATAATCTATGACCTGTATTAAGAAAGAGCCTATTAATAATGGAGAGGGAGCAAGTTAAGTTTTTTTCACTGTTGTATTGCAATATCTCAAGAGACACTTAATGCTGTAACCCCAGATGAGTGTCCTTTAGTATAAGCTCTCAGGAAAAAAAAGTTATCATTAAGACAGTAATTGATATTGAGCTGGAGAGTGTAGAGTGTCTACAATTTAAAAGGAAGACAAGGATTTAAAGCAACCTTGGTAAATGACCTTAAAATATTATATTTGATTAGTTGTCGTAGTAGGTGGAGGGAAGTAAGGGGAAGCAGCTGACTAGGATCAACAGGTAAAAGTTATAGTGAACCATTTTTCACCAAACATGGACTCCTATGAAACGTACTTCATAAGGGCTACTGCAGTCTGAAGAAGGGATAGAATGAATCATTTTGAGAGTGAGGTCACTACACTGGAGATTATTTCACCAGAGGTTACTGTGCATTTTTTAAAGGGCTTTCAAGCCTCAGGCATGACAAAATTTACACAATTTTAAAATTATAGAATAATGGAAGTGGGACTCAAATAAGCCACTCCATCAATTTTTTAAATGTATGTTATGATACTGTCACAAAAGTATGATGAAGAGCTCTAAATTACTAGTAATTACTGTTTTCTATTTATCTGAGAAAATTACTCCCAAGTACTGGAATTTATAACTGGAAATTCAAGTTTGGCTATTCTGTATATGAAATAAGGAGAATGGTTATAAATATTTGTTAAATGAACAAGTACATAAGAACTCACAATTGTGAAATTTAGGAAGAAAATGCAATTCATTCATTCATTCACCAAATAGATTTTGAAAGCCATCTCTGTGCCAGAAGTTGGCAAAATTCCTGCATTCATGGTGCTTTTATTCCAGCTGGAGGAGACAGATAATAAACAATAAAAAATAAATAAACATCAGGTGGTAAGCTTTATGAAGTAAATAGTAAAGCAAATTAAGTGAACAGAATGGAGAAGCTACTGTTTAGATTGGGTTTCCAGGAAAGTATCTCTAATATGATAACATTCGAGCAAAGAGGCCTGAAAGAATTAAGAAAGTGGCCAGGCACAGTGGTTCACACTTGTAATCCCAGCACTTTGGGAGGCCAAGGCAGGTGGATCACCTGAGGTCAGGAGTTCAAGACTAGCCTGGCCAACATGGTGAAACCCTGTCTCAACTAAAAATACAAAAAAATTAGCTGGGTGTGGTGGTGGGCACCTGTAATCCCAGCTACTTTGGGAGGCTGAGACAGGAGAATCACTTGAACCCATGATGTGGAGGTTGCTGTGAGCCAAGATCACACCACTGTACTCCGGCCTAGGTGACAAGAACAAAACTCCATCTAAAAAATAAAAATAAAAAAGAAGAAAGTGAACCATATGGATACCTGATGGAAGAGCAAGTGCAACGACCTCCAAGGCAGGATAGAGTCTGGTGCTCAAAATAGAGCCAAGAGGCAAGTATGGCAGGAGTAGAATGAGCATGAAGAAAAACAGGTAGTGACAGATTAGGCAGGTAGCAGGGCCACTCAGCCTTTGAGCCCCGTTAGACTAGGATAAGGACTTGGGCTTTTGTGTCTCTACAAAGGGAAGTCATTGTAAGATTCTAAATGGAGGAGTAACAAGTTTCATTTCATTTCTTTTCTTTTTTCTATTTTTTTTTTTTGACAAGATCTCACTCTGTCGCCCAAGCTGGAGTACAGTGACATAATCTCAGCTCACTGCAACCTCTGCCTCACGAGTTCAAACAATCCTCACACCTCAGCCTTCCTGGTAGCTGGTACTGCAGGCCCATGCCACCACGCCCAGCTAATTTTGTGTGTGTGTGTGTGTGTGTGTGTGTTTGACAGTCTCACTCTGTCTGCCAGGCTGGAGTGTAGTGGCAAGATCTAGGCTCACTGCAACCTCCACCTCCTGGGCTCAAGCAATTCTCCTGCCTCAGCCTCCTGAGTAGCTGGGATTACAGGCATGTGCCACTACGCTTGGCTAATTTTTGTATTTTTAGTAAAGACAAGGTTTCACCATGTTGGCTAGGCTGGAAGTGACATGTTTCAAAAGGATTGCTCACTTTGCTGAATATAGAATAGACTGTGTAGGGGCAAGAGGAGTAAGAATGGGGAAATTAGAAGACAATGATCCAGGAATGAAAATGCAGTACTTTGGACTGGTGTTTTAGCAGTATAAATTGTAAAACATGATCCCAGGTTTTGAGGAAACAGTTTTGAGGTGAGAAAATTTCATATTGGACAGGTCAAATGGAAGAAGTCTATTAGACATATGGGTGGAAATGTCAAGTACATAGGCAGATATATATGCATGAGAAACAGGCTGGAGATGTAAATTTGGGAGTCCTCAATACACAGATCTGTATTTGAAGCCATGGGATTGAACAAATCATCTGAGGCATGAGTATAGATAGAGAATAAATCAGATCTAATGACTGAAACACAGAGCAGCCTAACCTTAAAGAGTAGAAAGATGAGGAAGATCTAGCAAAGGAGATGAGAAGAAGTGACCAGCGAGGAAGTAAGGGAACCTGGAAAGAGTGGTGACCTACAGGTCATATGAAGACAGTCAAGCAGGAAGGAATGAGGGCTTCCAATATGCCCAGTAAGATAAAGGCTGAAAGTTGACCACTGAATTTGGCAACATGGAACACACACGTGATTCTAATAACACCTCTTTCAGCAGAATAGTGGGGATGAAAGCTTGATTGCTGTGGGTTCAAGACAGAATGAGAGGAGAGAAAATGGTGAGAGTGAGTATGAATAAATTTGAGAAAACTTTTTATGAAGGAGAGAAAACAGCTGAGTAGTACCTGGCAGTGGGGATGTAGATGATTGAAAGAGGAGGGGAGGCAGATATTATGCCTAAGCTAAAGCCTAGGAGTGTTAGGAATGGTGAAAGCAAATGGTCTAGAAGTGATAGTGTGGACTGAAGAGGACACCTATCCATCCTCCAGGTTTAGACATGTGGAATATTTCAGAAAAAACAGCTGCCATCCAAAAGTATGGCAGAAAAAGCTGTGGTCTTAAGTGACCATCAAGATACAATGAACAAAAAGATCAAGGGAGAGTACAGAGAACAAATTGCATAGGAGGGGGATAAGATGTCAGTTCTTGAAGGCACAGTGGAAAAGTGGAGTAGAGACAGGTATGGGATAGAATTAGTTTCAGCAAAATGCACAGCCTCATGAAAGATTCTCTTCAGGATCCTGGGATTTCATTGTGAAGTAGTCAAGTAGGATGAAATGCAATTCCTTAAAAGAAAGCCTCAGGGGGAAAGTTTAATAAATGGAAATTATATAGGCATTCTATAGACCAGTCTTTTAGTGATTAAAGTGATTAAAAGAAGGAGCAGAGAGCACAGGAAAAAATGTTTGTGAAGAAACAAACTTTGCAAACCTAATAGGAGAAAATCACCTTCCTGTAAATATCCAAACATAAAATGAGGCTGAGTCATGCCTAGTTGGGGATACTTTTGAGAGGCAGAGAAGTTAGGCAACAAGTAGACCAGTGAACAGAGTTTCTCTTCACTAGATGTAGACACATTTGAGCTCTCATACATTGCTGGAATATAAAATGGTGCAGCTGCTTTGGAAAATAGTTTGGCAGTTCCTCAGGTGGTTAAATGTAGAGTTTCCATATAATCCAGCAATTCTACTCCTACAGTTGAAAACATATGTCTACACAAAACCTCTTAAATGAATATATATAGCAGCATTATTTATGATCATCAAAAGAGGAAAACAACCCAAATGTCTACCTATTGATAAATGGATAAACAAAATGTAGTATATCCACAAAATGGAATACTTTTCTTCCATTAAAAGAAAGAAGCGCTGATATAGGATACAACACGGTTGAACCTTGAAAACATTATGCTAAGTGAAAGAAGCCAGATGTGAAAAGCCACATATTGTACCATCCCATTTACAAGAAATTTCCAAAATAAGCAAATCTATAGAGGGATAGAAAGTGGATTAGTGGTTGCCAGGGACAGAGGTGGGGGGGAAATAGAGAGTGACTGTAATGGGTTTGGTTTCTTTTTTGAGATGATGAAAATGTTTTTAAATCAAGTAGCAGAAATGTTGCACAGATCTGTAAATATGCTAGAAATCAATTAATTGTATACTTTAAGAGGATGAATCTCATGGTCTATGAATTATATCTCAGTAAAGCTGTTACCAAAAACAAAATGAAAGGAAAAGAAGATATATTCTAGGTGTTTAATTACTGAAATAATTAACTTTGTTTTCAATCCAAAAATCAAAAAAAGAAAGCACCAGTAGGCAGAGCAGGATAGCTGACTAGAGGAGCATAATGCTAGTACACCATACAAGACAGGATCAAAGCAATGAATGAAAATTACATTGGACTGGGGTGTTTGAGGGAGAACACTGCAGTACAGCAGGGAAGAGAGAAAACCTGTGGAGCAAGGAGACCTTTAGGGAGGGCCACATACAGAAGAGACAGAAACACCCTGCCTCCACCACGTGATCTTCTCAGCTGGAATTATCTAGGAACAAGAAGGCACTTGATGGACAAAGGTATGTAGGAGGCCTGTAGCACCCCCCATTAATGTGATGAACACCTGCAGTCTTTGCTTCCAGAGAAATCTTCAGTCCTCACAGTCCTTGAGCCCAGTTTGGGGAGGGGCTTGGTATCCATATAGCTGCACTGCCCCCAGAAAAGAAGCCCACATTGTGTGCCCTCTGACCCACACAACCCAATCTGCAGCTATATAGGACCCATCTTGAAACCGGAACAACAGGTAGAGTGCACCTTGCTCCAGGAACTGCATCTTTTCATCTCTGAGGCTAAAATGCCATTATACCACCTTCACACAAAGAAGTGCACCATTCCATCACCAAATTGCTACAGATCCCCACACCCTGGGAACAAGTTGCCTAGGAGACAATCTCTGCTTTTCACATCTTAGTGACTGTAGCACCCTGACCCCAGCCTGTTGGAACCTAGGTCCAGCAACCTGGCCCCAGAGCCCATGCAGCTTACTGCCTCCAAAGTAATAGATAATTCTGCCCAGCAGAGAAACCTAGTCTGGGTCAGCCATATGCACAGTCAACACAATCACCAGCCAGGCACACTACTTCCAAGAGAGCCCTGCCTCGAGCCAGTGGACTGGTCCTTGCATATCCCAATGCACTCACCAGCCAGATACACCAATTCCAGGGGTGTCCTGCCACAAGCCAGTGAACCAGGCCCCCACAGACCAACTGCACATTCACCAGCCAAGCATGCTGCCTTGAGGGAGGCCCACCCTGAGCTGACAAATCAGCCCCCATGCACCAGTAGAGTGCTCACCAGAAAAGTGCACTGCTTACAGGGAGGCCCTCCTCTGAGTCAGCAAATTGTGGTCCCCATGTACCCTGGCATGATCACCAGCTGGGCATGCCACTTCCATAGAAACCCTGTCCAGAGCTGATAAGATGGCCTCTGTGTGTCACTGGCAAGCTCAAAAGCTAGGCACGTTGATTCCAAAGGAGCCCTGCCTCAAGCTGCGAGTCAGGCCCACAATCACCACCCAGGTACTCCACTTCTAAGGGAGAGCCACTATAAGTCAGCAAACCTATCCACACATACTGCCAGCACACTCATCAGGCAGGCATGCTGCTCCTAAGGAAGCTCCACCCCAAACCAGCAGACTGCCCCTCACATGCCACCAGTCCACTCACCAGCCAAGTACTGTTCTCCCAGAAAGACTCCACCCTGAGTTGATGGACCAAGCCCTTTACTCACCAGGCAGGCATGTTGCTCCCAGAGGAGCTCCCACCCCTATCTGGCAGCCTAGCCACACAAACTCCTGCAGCCTATGCCACCAAAGCACTCAGGCATTACCAAAGTTGACTACAGCTGAAGAAACTGCATGGAGACCCCTACTGTGCCCACCCAGAACCAAAGCCAATACACATGCTACCCAACTGATACCCTCAGACACATCTGTAGGTGAAAGTCTGTCTATAAAATACAAATGCCACTCCATAAAATTGGAAGAGGCAACTATTTTACCAGATGCGCATATATCAACACAGGAGCACAAGAAACATGAAAAAGCAAGGAAACTTAACATCACCAAAGGAGCACAATGATGCTCTAGTAACTGACCCTAAAGAAATGGAAACATATAGTTGCCTAAAAAGGAATTCAAATAACAATTCTAAGGAAACTTAGTGAGATGCAAGGGAATACAGGTAGACAATTCAATGAAATCAGAAAAATAATTCATGGCCTGAATGAGAAATTCAACAAGGAGACAAATATAAAAAAAGAACCAAACAGAAATCTTAGAACTGAAGAACTCAATGAATGAGATAAAAATATAACAGGGAGCTTCAACCTCAGACTAGATCAAACAGAAGAACATTTCTGAACTTGAAGACATCTCTTTTGAAATAACAGAGGAAAAATGGGGAAAGAAGAATGGAAAAGAACCAATAAGGCCTAGAGGATTTATGGGACACAATTAAATGAACAAATATTTACAATAAGAGAGTTAAAGACAGGGAAGAGATAAAGTCACAGAAAAAAATTTTAAACAAAATAATAGCTGAAAACCTCTCAAGTATTGGGAGAGTTGTGGACATCCAGTTCCATTAAACTCAGAGAATCTCATATAGATTCAACCCAAAGGGGTCTTCTCTGAGGCACATTATAATCTAATTGTCAAAAGTCAAAGACACAGAGAGGTTTCTAAAAGCAGCAAGAGAAAAATGTCAACATATAAGGGAAGCCCCATTAGACTATCAGCAGATTTCTTAGCAGAAACTGCAGGCTAGGAGAGAGTGTAACATATGTAATGTTATATTCAAAGTCATAAAAGAAAAAATAGTTTCACCAGGAATACTAGACCCAGCAAACCATCCTTTTGAAATGAAGAAGAAATAAATACTTTCTCAGACAAGCAAAAGCTGAGGGAATTTGTCACCACAAGACTGACCTTACAAAAAATGCTTAAAGGAGTGCTTCAAGCAGAAGTGAAAAGATAATAACTAATAACATGAAAACATATGAAAAAAGTGTAAACTTCATTGGAAGAGGTAAATTCATAATAAGTTCAGAATATTACATTAGTGTGCTGGTACTATATAATTTTCAAATCTTCAGTATGAAGGTTAAAAGTCAAAATGGCCAACAATAATTATATCTATAATGAGTTGTTAAGAAAGTTACAATACAAAGATATCTAAATTAAGGCAACAAAAGTATAAATTGTGGTGAGAGGAAAAGTTGGAGTATTTGTATCCAACCAAAGTTAAGCTGTGGCTCAGATCTGTAATGTCAGCACTTTGGAAGACCGAGGTGGGTGGATCACTTGAGCTCAGGGGTTTGAGACCAGCCTGGGCAACATGGCAAAACCCTGTCTCTAAAAATAATACAAAAATTAGCTGGTTACAGTGGTGCACACCTGTAGTCCCAGCTACTCAGGAGGCTGAGGCAGGAGAATTGCTTGAGCTCAGGAGGCAGAAGTCACGGTGAGCTGAGATCACGCCATTGTCCTCCAGCCTGGGCAACAGAGACCCCATCTCAAAAATAAATAGATAAATAACAATTTTTAAAAAGGATCTAGAAAACAACAAAATGGCAAGAGTAAGTTGTTATAGATCAGTAATCATCTTGAGCAGGCATGGTGGCTCATGCCTGTAATCCCAAAAGTTTGGGAGGTCAAAGCAGGAGGATTGCTTGAGCCCAGGAGTTTGAGACCAGCCTGGGCAACATAGAAAGACTCTGTCTCTACAAAAAAAATTTAAAAAATTACCCAGGCCTGATGGTGTGTACCTGTAGTCCCAGCTACTTGGGAGGCTGTCATAGGAAGATCACTTGAGCCTGAAAGATCAAGACTGTAGTGAGCCAGGATTACACCACTGCACTGCAGTCTGGGTGACAGAATGAGACCCTGTCTCTTAAGTAAATAAATAAAGAATCAAAGTTAAAAAATAATAACATTAAATGAGATGGATTAAATTCTTCATTTAAAACATATACAGTGATACTTTTCAACATAGTACTGGAAGCCCCAGCTAGAACAATTGGGCAAGAGAAAGAAATAAAGGGCATCCCAAATTGGAAAGGAAAAAGTCAAATTATACTTGTTTGCAGATTATATAATCTTATATTCAGAAAAACATAAAGACTCTACCTTTGTTTATAAGCTCTAATACCAAAAAACTATTAGATTATATTAGAACTTATAAACAAATTCAGTACATTGCAAGATACAAAATCAATATATAAAAATCTGTAGCATTCTATATGCAAACAGTGAACAATCTGAAAAAGAAATAAAAACATAACCCCATTTACAATAGCCACAAATAAAATTAAATACCTAGGAATTAACAACCAAAGAAGTGAACAATCTCTACAATGAAAATGATATAATATTGATTAAAGAAATTGAAGAGGACACCAAAAAATCCAAAGATATTCCATGTTCATGGATTAGAAAAATCAATATTGTTAAAATGTTCATACTTACTACCCAAAGCAATCTACACATTCAATACAATCCTTATCAAAATACCGATGACATTATTTACAGAAATAGAAAAAAAATTCTAAAATTTATATGGAAATATAAAAGACACAGAATAGTCAAAGCTGTCCCAAGCAAAAAGAACAAAACTGGAGGAATCATATTACCTGACTTCAGATTATGCCTCAGAGCTACAGTAACCAAAACAGCATAGTACTGGCATGAAAATAGACACATAGGCCAATGGAACAAAATAGAGAATCCAGAAGCAAATTCATACACCTACAGTAAATATACTTTCAACAAAGGTGCCAAGAACATACATTGGAGAAAAGATAGCCTCTTCAATAAATGGTGCTAGGAAAACTGGATATTCATATGCAGAAGAATGAAACTAGACCCCTATCTCTTGCCATATACAAAAATCAAGTCAAACTGGATTAAAGACTTAAATCTAAGACCTCAATTTATTAAACTATTACAAGCAAACACTGGGGGAACTCTCCAGGACATTGGTCTAGGAAAAAATTTCTTACCCCACAAACACAAGCAGAAATGGATAAATGGGATCATATCAAGTTAAAAAATACTTCAGCACAGCAACAGAAACCATCAGCAAAGGGAAGACACAACCCACAAAATGGGAGAAAGTATTTGCAAACTGCCCATCTGATAAGGCATTAGTAACCAGAATACATAAATAGCTCTAACTTTATAGGAAAAACTCTAATAATGTGATTTAAAAATGGGCAAAAGACTTGAATAACTATTTCTCAAAATAAGACATGCAAATGGCAAACAGGCATATGAAAATGTGCTCAACATCATTGGTCATCAGAGAAATGTGAATCAAAGCCACAGTGAGGTATCATCTCACCCCAGTTAAAATGGCTTTTATCCAAAAGACAGGCAGTAACAAATGCTGGCAAGGATGTAGTGAAAAGGAAACCCCCATACACTGTTGGTGGAAATACAAATTAGTACAACCACTATGGAGAATCATTTGGAGATTCCTCAAAAAACTAAAAATAGAGCTACCATATGATCCAGTAATCTCACTGCTGGGTATACACTCCCAAAAAGGGAAATCAGTATATTGAAGAGATATCTGTACTCCTATGTTTGTTGCAACAATGTTCACAATAACCAAGATTTGGAAGCAACCTCAGTGTCCATCTAAAGATGAATGGATGAATGGATAAGGAAAAGAAAATGTGGTACTTTTACGTAATGGGGGACTATGTAGCCATAAAAATGAATGAGATCCTGTGTTTGTTTGTCTGTTTGTTTGTTTGTTTGTTTGTGGGTCTTGTGCTATCACCCAGCCTGGAGTGCAGTGGCATGCTCATGGCTCTCTGCATCCTCCACCTCCTGGGCCCAAGGGATCTTCCCACCTCAGTCTCCCTTGTTGCTGGGGCTACAGTCATGCACCACCACATCCAGATCTTTTG
This sequence comes from Homo sapiens, assembly GCF_000001405.40. NCBI lineage: Eukaryota > Metazoa > Chordata > Mammalia > Primates > Hominidae > Homo > Homo sapiens. The sequence goes on along the minus strand of NC_000007.14, from coordinate 88,250,641 downwards.
GTGGGGGAATGGGGAGATGGCGTCTCGCTCTGTCACCAGGCTGGAGTGCAGTGGCGCAATATCGGCTCACTGCAACCTCCGCCTTCCGGATTTAAGAGATTCTCCTGCCTCAGCCTCCTGAGGAGCCAGGACTACAGGCACATGCTACCTCGTCCAGCTAATTTTTGTACTTTTAGTAGAGACGGCATTTCACCATGTTGATCAGGATGGTCTCGATCTCTTGACCTCATGATCTGCCTGCCTCAGCCTCCCAAAGTGCTGGGATTACAGGTGTGAGCCACTGTGCCTGGCCAATTTTTGTTTTTTTTTTTTTTTTTTATAGAGTCAAGGCTTTACCATGTTGCCCAGGCTGGTCTAGAACTCCTGGGCTCTAGCAATCTGCCTAACATGGCCTCCCAAAGTGCTGGGATTTTAGGCATAAGCTACTGTGCCCAGCCTAATCCTGTCATTTTAAACAACATAGATGGAACTAGAGGTCATTATGTTAAGTGAAATAAGCCAGGCACCAAAAGACAAACATCACTTGTTCCACTTATTTGTGTGAGATAAAAATTAAAGCAATTGGACTCGTGGAGATAGAGAGTAGAAGGATGGTTACCAGAAGCTGAGAAGGGTAGTGGAGGTTGGGGGGTAGAAGAGTAGGGATGGTTAATGGGTTCAAAAAGTACTTAGAAAGAATGAATAAGACCTAGTATTTCATAGCACAACAAGGTAGCCATAGTTGATAATAATTTAATTGTACATTTTAAAATAACTAAAATAGTATAATTGGATTATTTGTAACACAATGGATAAATTCTTGAGGTGATGGATACCCCATTTACCATGATGTGATTATTATGCATTGCATGCCTGTACCAAAGTAGCTCATATACCCCATAAATATATACACCTAATAGTACCCATCAAAAATGTTTTAAAAATTTTTAAAATATATACACCTACTAGTACCCATCAAAATTTTTTATCCATTGTGGCCCAATGGATAAAAAAACAAGACCAGGCACCAGGGATGTTTTCAACAGAGGAAAAATCATGAGAGGACACAGCAAGAAGGCAGCCATCTGCAAACCAAGGAGAGAGGCTTCAGAATGAAGGCAATCCCAAAGATACCCTGATCTTTGATTTCTAGACTTCAGAATTGTGAGAAAATAAATTTATATTATTTAATCCTCCTTCTCTATCCACACCACAAAGTAAATTAATAAATAACAAGACCCAACTTTACACAGTCTACAGAGAACCCACTTTACCTATAAGGACACACATAGACTGAAAGTGAAGGAATGGAAAATGGTATTCCATGCAAATGGAAACAAAAGAGAGCAAGAGTAGTTATGCTTATATTAGATAAAATAGACTTTAAGTCAAAACTGCAAAAAGAGACAAAGATGGTCTTTATATAATGATAAAGATGTCAACTTAACAAGAGTAAATAATAATTGTAGATATATATGCATATAACACTGGAACACCCAAATATATAAAGCAATTGTTTTTTTAGATCTAAATGGAGAGATAGACTGCAATGCAATAATAGTAGGAACCTTCAACAGCCCACTCTCACTAATGGACAGATCATCGAGACAAAAAATAAACAAAGAAACATCAGATCTAAACCTCACTTTAGACCAAATGGGCCTAATAGAGATTTACAGAACATTCCCCCCAACAGCTGTGGAATACACATTTTTTCCAATAGCATGTGGAGCGTTCTCCAGAATAGATCATGCATTAGGCCACAAAACAACTCTTAGTAAATTTAAGAAGATCACAATAATTTCGAGTATGTTTTCTGACCACAATGTTATAAAACCAAAAATCAATAACAGGAGCAAATTCAGAAAATTCACAAGTAAATGAAAATTAAATAACGTGCTTGTAAACAATCAATGTTTCAGTGGAAAAATTAAAATTTAAAAATTTCTTGAGACAGGGCAGGGCATGGTGGCTCACACCTGTGATACCAGTATTTTAGAAGCCTAAATGAGAGAATTGCTCGAGGCCAAGAATTCAAGACCAACCTGGGCAACATACTGAAACCCCATCTCAACAAAATAAAAATAATAAATAGATAAATAAATAATTTTTGAGACAAACAGAAATGAAAACAACATATCAGAACCTTTGAGATACAGCAAAAGAAGTTGTAAGTGGGAAGTTTACACCGATAAATTCCTACATCAAAAAAGAAGAAAGATCACAAACAACCTAATGATGTACCTTAAGGAACTAAAAAAAAAAACAAGAACAAAATAAACCCCAAATTCATAGAAGAAAGGAAATAATAGACCAGAGCAGAAATTATTGAACTAGAGACTTAAAAATACAAAAGATCAATGGAACCAAGAGTTGGTTTTATAGAAAGATAAAATATACAAACCTTGAGCTAGACCAAGAGAAAAATAGAGAAGACTCAAATAAATAAATTCATAGATGAAAAATGGGGCATAACAACTGATACCACAGAAACACAAAAGATCAATTGCTGGTGAACAATTATACACCAACAAATTGGAGAACATAGATAAATAATGAGATAAGTTTCTGGACACATAGAACCTACCAAGACTGAATAATGAAGAAATAGAAAATCTGAGCAGAATAATAAAAAGTGAGGAAATTGAATAAGTTGTAAAACGTCTTCCATCAGAGAAAAACCCATGAGCTGGATAGCTTTTTTTGTTGCTGAAATCTACCAATCATTTAAGGAGGAACTAATACCAAATTATTGTCAGACTACTCAAGAAAATTGAAGGAGATTACTTAATTCCTAATTCATTCTACAAGGCCAGAATTACCCTGATACCAAAATCAGAGCAAAACACAACACAAAAAGAACACTATATCTCTGATGAACATAGATGCAAAACTCCTCAACAAAATACTTGCAAACTGAATTTAACAGCACATTAAAGAGATTATCTATGATGGTCAAGTGGGATTTATCCCAGTGATGCAAAGATGGTTCAATATACGCAAGTCAATAAATGTGATATATATCACATAAGAATGAAAGACCAAAACCATATGATCATTTCAATAAATGCAGAAAAAGCATTAAATGAAATGAAATATCACTTCTTGATTAAAAAAAATCAACAACTTAGGATTAGAAGGTACATACTATACAAGGTCCATATATGATAAACCCACAGTTAACATGATACTAAATGAGAAAAAGTTGAAAGTTTTTTCTCTAAGTTCTAGAACAAGACAGGGATGCTGATTTTCACCACTTCTATTCAACATAGTATTGGAAGTCTTAGCCATAGCAATTAGTCAAGAGAAGCAAATAAAGGGTATCCAAATTGGAAAATAAGAATTCAAACTGTCCTCATTTGCAGATGACATGACTGTATATGTAGACAACCCTAAAGACTCCACCAAAAACCATTAGCACTCTTAAACAAATTCAGTGAAGTTGTAGGATACAAAATCAACATACCCAAATTAGTAGCATTTCTATATACCAGTAATAAACTATCTTAAAGAGAAATCAAGAAAACAATACCATTCATGTAACTATTAATACAAAAAAGTACTTAGAAATAAATTTTAAAAGAAGGTGAAAGATCTCTACACCGAAAACTATAAAACATAAGTAAAAGAAGTTGAACAGAACACAAATAAATGGAAAGATATCCCATGTTCATGGATTGGAATAGTTAATATTATTAAAATGTCCATACTACCCAAAGGGATCTACAGAGTCAATGTAACTCCTATCAAAATATCAACAACATTCTTCACAGAAATAGAAAAAAAATCTTACAATGTGTATAGAACAACAAAATACACCAAATTTTTCTTTAGCAGAAAAAAAATAAAACAAGCTGGTGGCATCACAACAAAACAGTATATCACAGGGATCACCCTGTCACAACCAAAACACAACACAACCAAAACAGGATGATATAAGCATTAAAAACAGACATACAGACCAATGGAAAGGAATAAAGACCACAGAAATAAATTCATGTAACTGCAGCCAACTGATTTTCAACAAAGATGCCCATACTGGGGAAAAGAGCAGTCTCTTCAATAAGCGGTGCTGGGAAAATTAGATATCCATACACAGAAGATTGAAACTAGATCCCTATCATACACCATGTACAAAAATCACCTCCAAATGGATTAAAGACTTAAACATGAGGCCTGACATTATGAAACTACTGGAAGAAAAACTTGGAGAAACATTTCAGGACAATGGCCTGGGAAATAATTTGCTGGATATGACTCCAAAAATTCTGGCAATAATATAAAAAAATGGACAAAGGGAACAATCAAGAGAGAAGAGATAACCTACAGAATGGGAGAAAAATGTTTGTAAACTATACCTATGACAAGGGGTTAATATCCAGAATATCTAAAAAACTCGAACAACTCAATAGCAAAACAAACAAATAATATGATTTAAAAATGGGCAAAACACCATAATAGACATTTCTCAAAAGGAGGCATACACATGACCAGAAAGCATAGGAAAAGATGTTCAAATTACTAATCATAAGTGAAATGCAAACTAAAACCACAAGATATCACCTCATGCCTGTTAGAATGGCTATTATCGAAAACAAAAGATAACAAGTATTGGAGAGGATATGGAGAAAAGAGAACTCTTGTAACCTTTGGTGGGAATGTAAATTATTATGGCCATTACGGAAAACAGTATGGAGGTTCTTCAAAAATATAAAAATAGAGCTACCATATTAAGACTAGAAGGTACATAGTACACAACAAAGAGATACCTGCATTTCCACGTTCATTGTAGCACTGTTCACAATAGTCAAGATATAAAATCAATTTATGTGTTAATCCATGGATGAATGGATAAAGAAAATGTGGTATATAAACATAATGGAATACTATTCATCTATAAAAAAGAATAAAATCCTGTCGTATAAGACAACATGAAAGAGATTATGTTACTTGAAATAAACCAGACACTGAAAGACAAATGATGTTACTTATAAGTAGAATCTAAAAAGTTCATCTCATAAAAGCAGTGAATAGACCAGTGGTTACCAGCAAGTGGGGAAAGGAGAAAGTGGAGGGGAAATAGGGAGGATCGGTCAATGGGTATAAAGTTACAAATAGATAGGAAGAATGAGTTCTATTGTCTTATTGCACAGTAGAGTGAATATAGTTAACAATAATGTATTGAATATTTCAAAATAGCTAGAAAGAACATTTTGAATGTTCTTACTACAAAAAAATGATAAATGTTTGTGATGATGGATATGCTAATTACCCTGATTTGATAATCACACAATGTATATGTGTATCAAAACATCACATAGTACCAAATATGTACACATATTTATGTACGTATTTGTATCTTATGTACACAAATATGTACAATTATTTTGTGTCAATTGTTTCTTTAAAAAGCACCAAATGTATATTAATTACATTACTAATGATAGGATGTCTTCATGACAGGAATAGAGAAACAAACTACACATGTATGTATAATAGATGGAAATATTTAGAGCTATAAAGGGGCCTAAAGAGTTAAAAGGATACCTAAAAATATATGGAAGAATATACAAAATAAATGAAGGTACACAGTGAACAATAACTTTGTCTTGTCTATCCTATGCCCTCCCTGTACCTCTAAGACTATTCTACACATAGTCCATGCTTGTAAATATTAGTTGAATAAAGAAATAAATGTAGATATATGCATGTGTGTATATATAAGGGTATACACACATACACAGACACACACATAACATAATTCTGAAGTATTTATAGAATTCAGTCATTGATCTGCTTTGAAATACAGGATAAAATAAGTTGTTTCTCTGATTTAGGAGGACAAAGGTAGAAAGGAAATAAAATCTATACTAACAGGTTACCCAAATGTTAGAAATATACAAATGAAATTCTTCATATATGATTTAAAATAATTTTTAATGCTAACTATGTTTATGTAGTTGAATAATTTTTTCCATTAGAAAATAAAAATAAAAACTCATAAATAGCCTGCGGGAGGAAATTGCATATGTGACTAACATAAAAGCATTAGCTTCTGAGAGATAGCTACAGAAAGGCTTTGCTGCTTGCAGGATGTCTAATCAATCAGATATCTCAGGATAGACTTTCCAAGTACCTGCTTGGAAATTTGATTATTTTTTCAGGTCTGTTCCTGTGGTTTTAATTAAGCTAAAGATCATATCAATGTTTATACTTGACATAAATGATTCCATTTCCAACTGCTTTCCAGATTTCTAAATAGCATGTGCATCAAGGATAGAAGACACTAAAGGTTACATATCATTTCACACAGAGACTATCCTTTTCCCATTATACATTCTTGGCATCTTTGTTGAAAATCAACTAACTGTAAATGTGTGGATTTAATTCTAGGCTCTCTATCTTGTTCCATTGGTTCGTATGTCTTTTTATGCCTGTATTATGTTGTTTTGATAAATCAAATCTATTTTAACCGGAAAGTTCAATCCATTTAAATTGATTGTGATTACTAATATATTTGGATTTATTTCACATATCTCATTTTATGTTGCTTTATAATAATAATTTCCCCTTTCTTGCCTTTTCTTGGATTAATGGACTATTTCCCCTCATCCCATTTTTGTTTCCTGTTTCTGCTTTGAAAGTTTATTTTGGTCTTTATAGTAGGTACCCTAGAAATTGTAATATGCATATTTAACTTTTTTGAATTTTAAAGAGAATCAACATTTTTACTCTCCTTCTAAATAATACAAGGATTCCAACCACCATCCCCTTCTACTTACATGGGGTATTGTTGCTTGACATATTTCTGCTGCCTATTTACTTACTATCTCTCAGCTCCAATCCTACTCTGTTCTACTCTGCTCTGTGCTGGGACTCTGCGGAATATCTTTCCCAGACTCCCTTGCCCACTAACTGCCTATTGTGTTTTGTTACTAGGGTTACATAATGGGAGTGAAAGGTGAGAAAAGAGGAAAACAACATTGCTTCCAATTGTTCCAGTTCTGGTCAGTGTTGCCCATCAGTAGCTTCATTGGTCCAGCCTTCAGCTTTTTTCAAAACTCCTCTAGCCTTAGCAATTTCCCTCAGAGCAACTAGCATCCTCCAGTGGCACCCACTGTGAAATGTCCTTGTTGAAGCTTACTGTAAATGCGAAAACAAATGAGTGAAAAATGCAAGAAAGGTTTCAAACCAAATACAATGTTATAATGACACCTTGTGGATATGGGCAGTATACCACTGACCAAGCTTCAGTGAAATGCAACATTAGCTGTAAAATCACCAAACATAAAATACTACACATTTTGAAACTAAAAACTAAAAATAAAAAAAAGCTACTTAATGTAGAAAAAAATGAATAACAAATAAACATAGAGTAATAGAAACTACAAGTTGGTGATCTCTTTTCCATATTCCTGTGAGACACAGCACTAGATCACTCCTTAAAGACTCGTTTTCTTCCATTCAATTTACTGCCATTTTAATTTTCCCGAGTTTAAGGCCTCCTTTTTCTTTTCTTATAAATCAGTGTTTTTCATCCTTTTCTGAGAATTAAATTTTTTAATGTTCATTATATATATTTTTTTCTAGTAGTGTCTTGCAGAAGTCTACATTAAAAATTTCAATTTGTCAAAAAAAAAAAAAAAAAAACCCTGAGGTTTTAGCAACCTATCTTTGTAAATTAACTGTTTTTGTGTGAGGTAATGAAATTAGCCCTGATATAATCACAGTGTATTCATGACTTTTTCTAATTTTTCTAAATTTTGCCTTTTGCTAATAACTTGTTTTTTAATAACAACCTATTACTTTTTATGATGTTTGTGTCAGTTACCACTTAAGCAGAATCTAATCGCTTTCGTATTCTATAATTAAATTAATGTGGACATTTAGTACACTATATAATATTATTAGAAAACAAGAGATTTGGTTTGAGAAGACCTAAATTCAAATCTAACTTGGCTATTTATTAGTGAAACCAGGGGCAAGTTACTTTGACTTAAATTAACCTGATTATAATCATCTGTAAAACAAAGATTATAAACATGAATAACAAATTTTAAAATATCCAGCAGTAAAATGTATATAAAACATTTATATACTGTAAAGCATTACACAGATACAAGTAGTTAAAATAGCATGTATGCATTACATTCAATATTTTATTCATAAGAGTCTACTTTAGAATTTTATGTGAAATTTAAAGTAGCTCATTCCATGCATCTGGCAAACAAAATCATCCCATAATTTCTGAGGATCTGTTTTTTACAAGATACTGTAAGAGACATAGAGGCAAATGTTACCAGTGACTGCCCGAAAGTTTTATAATTTTATTGAGGATTCATGTATACTTGATAAGTTGTTGCAAAAAGAGATTTAATTCATCAAGACGTGATAAGAGCTGTAGTCTTGGGTGACATCACAGAAGAAGTATTCAGCTGGGTATGGAATAGAACACAGATGAGGAAGGACATTTAATGATGAAAATACAGCATGAACAAAGGAATTATTTGGTTTTTCCTTTTCTTAGCACTGTTATAGTATTTCCTGTTAATACAACTCACTTTGTCTCCTAACTATAACTTGTATTGATAGTATTATTATATGTGTATTACATGTGTAGATGTCATGTTTCTCTGTATAAACTATATGTTTACAAAGTATACAGATGTCTAATATAAGTCACTTATTTTACCAGGTGCTGGAGATTTACCATATATGGGTGATTAACCCATTAACAGTGTATGAAAAAGCTGCACCAGAGCATGTACAAAGTACTTCAGGGTCGCAGAGAAGAGGTGATTAATTCTAAGCTTCAGAACAGCGCAAACTAATTTTTGCATTTTGTTCATATCACCCCAGAGCACCAAGCTTTACATTAGCTTTATAATAGGTACTCAAAACGTTAATAAACAGATGAACTAATGAACAAACAAAAAATGCAGACAAGAACAGGCTGACAATCCCATGGGAATTACCCAGACTTGTTGGAAGGAAAAAAGTGGGAAAGTAAATTGGTGCCCAATTTTTGGAGATATGGAATCTTGGATGAAAAAGATTAGACTTGGGCCAGGCACAGTGGCTCATGCCTGTAATCCCAGCATTTGGGAGGGCAGATCACTTGAGGCTAGGAGTTCAAGGCCAGCCTGGACAACATGGCGAAATCCCGTCCCTACTAAAAATACAAAAAAAAAAAAAAAAAAAAATGAGCCAGACATGGTGGCGCGCGCCTGTAATCCCAGCTACCCAGGAAGCTGAAGCATGAGAATTGCTTGAAACCAGGAGGCAGAGGTTGCCGTGAGCCGAGATCACACCGCTGCAATCCAGCCTGGGCGACAGAGCAGAATCCATCTCAAAAAAAAAAAAAAAAAAAAAGGATTAGACTTGAAGTTCTTCAAAGTGTATGGTAAACACAACTCACTTTTATGTACTTCAGGGGAAACAAGAAGTGAAAACTGTACATGATTCCAAAGAACTATCCCTTGTGGGATTTAACTTTTTAACAGCCCAACACTCTGAGCCTGACATGGAAAAGACGGCCAGTGTGTATTTGTTTTAATTAATTAGTGCATGGATGGATAGATGGATGGATGGATGGATGGATGGATGGATGGATGGATGGATGGATGGGAGTAGCTTAGGCAACTAATAATCCCAATTAATAGGTCACTTAACAGAACTTCTGCCTTTGAAAGGAAGACTTCAATTTACCAGGGATGGTGTCACCTGGTTTTTTTTTTTTTTAATTGGTAACAACTGCTTCATTTTGTAAAATATCTAAGTATTTGATTCCATGGAGCAATGTTATTTAAGATTAAATGATTGTACTCTTGAAGAAAGGTAACATTCATATAACCAACACTATGTGCAATTTACATCCTTTTGTTTGTTTGTTTTGTTTTGTTTTGACAGGAAGTTTCGCTCTGTCACCCAGGCTGGAGTGCAATGAGTCAATCTCGGCTCATCGGCTCACTGCAGCCTCTATCTCCCAGGTTCAAGAGATTCTCCTGCCTCAGCCTCCCAAGTAGCTGGAATTACAGGCACCCACCACCACACCTGGCTAATTTTTTGTGTGTTTTTAGTACAGAAAGGGTTCTATGTGATGTATTTTTTATTTTGGCTGCTATTAGTGATACCTTAGGCTCTAATAATGTGTGTACAGTTTGAAGTGGACTAAGTTGTATTCAGTAGAATTAGAATATAAAGTACATTACAACTTCATAGATATTGTTAACCAAAATAGGTAGAACATCTTATTTTTTGAAATTTCCTGATAATATTATAACTGTTAGAGAGGGGGTGCAATTTGTGGTTCATATCTTATGTATTATCTTGACTTCTCTCTTAATAAATGTAAGGTTAGTATTTTTTCACCTGTAAAAATTAATTGTAAGTAGTTTTTCTCCCTATAATTCTTGTAAGGTTTATGGATCTTCTATTCACGTCTCTATATTTTTTAAATTATTTTTTGAAATGCAAGCTAATACTGCTACATTATAGTTTATTTGGGAAGTAAAAACAAAAAAAAACACTCTTAATTGCATGAACTTCACTCAATCATTATCTTTTTGACATATTTCTTTTCAATCTTTTTTCTGCCTATGCATGCATTTTTCACACAAGTGTAATCATAGTATGAATATTATTTTGTATGCTGCTTTTTTTGCTTTTAAGTATTGTAACAAGTTCTTATGGTGCTACTTAGGTTTCATAACCATGTACTAGTGGTTGCCTAATATTCCACTAAATAAATGTACAGTGCATTTAATACCATTTATTTAATCATACTCTTAATAGTTAGCATTAGATTATTTTTGATTTTTGCTTATGTAAACAATACTTTAATGAACGTCTTCCTCTGTGGCTTCTAGGTACGTATGTGATCACCAAACAAGACATGGGGCCTCCCACAAAGTGGACCAGCTAAAAAATATTCTTATGGGATTTATATTTCCATGACATATAATTGAGGCCCAGTTTTCCTTCAAGACCTCAGGGCCCCACTAATTATCTTTTCTTCCCCCACCTCCCAGTATAACTTATACTTATCCCCAGTATAAACTTACAGACAAACCATTACTTCATGAAGTATACTCATTTTCAGCTTTACCAAATATGGGCAAATTGCTTTACAAAGAGGTTGTAACAAACTATATTCTCACCAGTGTCAAACGGAAGTTGTAGGCCAAGTGCAGTGGCTCACGCCTGTAATTCCAGCACTTTAGGAGGCAAGGCAGGCAGATCACCTGAGGCCAGGATTTCTAGATCAGCCTTGTCAACATGGCGAAAGCACATCTCTACCAAAAATACAAAAATTAGCTGGGTGTGATGGTGGGCGCCTGTAATCCCAGCTACTCAGGAGGCTGAAGCAGAAGAATCACTTGAACCCGGGAGGTGGAGGTTGCAGCGAGTCAAGATTATGCCACTGCACTCCAGCCTAGGCGACAGAGTGAGACTCTGTCTCAAAACAAAAATAATAATAATAATTGTTTCCCCACATCTCTCCAACACTTGGTATTACCCATTTGATTATTTTTGACCTATCTGATGGCATAAAATAACTAATTTTTTGAATTAGTGTTTCTTTGATTTCTAATAAGATTAAATATTTTGTATTATTGTCCATTTGTAGTCCCTCTATTGTGAAAATCCCTAGTTAGATGTTGTACTCATTTTATTAGGTTAGTTTCTTCTCTGTCAATGGTTTACACAAGTTTTAAAAAATATATTCTAGACACTATTATATATGTTGAAAATATTTTTTCACAGTTTGGCATTTTTGTTTAATTTTGTTCATGGCATCATCTACCAGAGAAAAGTGCCATCCTTGCACTTGTCACTGTCGTTCTTTAAGTTCACTGCTGGATTTGATTTGCTACTATTTAGGATTTCTGGGTACGTTAAGCTTGATCAATGATTTTCTTTTCTCTTTCTGTTCTAGTCTGGCATTGCTACCAATGTTATGCTACCTTTTTAAAAAAATGAATTGGATCATTTCTCACCATTTTTCCTGTTCTGTAATAGTTTATATAAGACAAGAATAATCTGTCTTTTTGAAGACATAGTAGAACATGTCATTTGGTGGTGGCAGAACTTGGCATTAATTTTTCTTTTGTGTTAATTTATTTGTTCAGATTTTCTACTTCTTCTTGGGACTATTTTGCCAAAATATTTTTCAGAAAAATTATGTGCATATTCTGTTTTTTCCAATGTGTTGGTAACATAGTGTGCTAGTCAGCATAGCCATAATAATGCTGTGTAGTAAACCACCCCAAACTAAGTATAAAGCAACATTTATTCCAGTTTATACATCTGTAAGACAGTTGGGCTTTGGCGGATCGGATCTATGCTGGGCTTGGCTGGGCTTGGCTGGCCTTGGTTCCACATCTGAAAATGTCAGATCCTTTTTGGATCAATTGGCTACCAGAGACACATTCTTCTCCTGGGGATGGAAGAAGTACAAGAGGGATAAGTGGACATATGTGATACCCTTAAGGCCTAGATTCAGAACTGGCACTGGCACTTCTGCCAAAGTAAATCACACAGTCCAGCACAATATTATGAATGGAGGTGGATATATTTTACCATTACCAGGAGGAATTGCGAATTTACATAACAAAGGACATGAATACAGGGAGATGCAAAGTATTGTGAACAATTACGCATTCTGCCATAGATTGTATTGTATTAAAACATACTTTTAAATTTACTGTGTCCTTTTCCTTTTGCTCTCTTCTCCTTCATATATCAGGCCAAAGATGTTTCTATAGTATTAGACATCTTAAAAGAACTAGCTTTGAATTTTGTTAATAAGCTCAAATTGATTTTTTTGTTTTATTTTTCTTCAATATTTATTTCTCAAATCCCTTCATTCTACTTTATTTGGGTTTATTATGTTGTTTATTTCCCCAGCTTCTTTGCTCATTTATACTCAATCTTTCTTTGCTAGAGCAAACATTTAAGAAAAATATAGGCTGGGCATGGTGGCTCATGGCTAATCCCAGCACTTTGGGAGGCTGAGGCGGGTGGGTCACCGGAGGTCAGGAGCTCTTGACCAGCCTGGCCAATATGGTGAAACCCTGTCTCTACTAAAAATACAAAAATTAACTGAGCGTGGTGGCACGTGCCTATAATCCCAGCTACCCAGGAGGCTGAGGCAGGAGAATCGCTTGAACCTGGGAGGCGGAGTTTGCACTGAGCCAAGATTGCATCTTTACAGTCCAGCTTGGGCGACAAAAGCGAAACTCCGTCTCAAAAAAAAAAAAAAAAAGAAAAAAGAAAAATGTAAATTTTCCACTGAACACTACTTTGGATGATTAATAATGTACTACTTTCATTATCTTATTTCCAATTTTTTTTCAAGACAGAGTCTTGCTGTCGCCAAGGCTAGAGTACAGTGGCACTATCTCGGCTCACTGCAACCTCTGCCTCTCGGATTCAAGCAATTCTCTCTGCCTCAGCCTTCCAAGTAGCTGGGATTACAGGTGCCCACCATCATGCCTGGTTAATTTTTGTATATTTAGTAGAGACGGGGTTTCACCATGTTGGCCAGGCTGGTCTCGAACTCCTAACTTCAGGTAATCTGCCTACATTGGCCTCCCAAACTGCTGGGATTAAAGGCGTGAGCCACCACACCTGGTCTATTTCCAAATTTTTATAGTTTAGTTTTATAGGCCTTGTTTAACGAAAAAGTTATTTAAACCCATATTTTAACATTTTCAGCTATCTGTAGAACACTTTAAAATTTTTTTTTGTTGAATCTTTTTCAGTTCTATTGTGGAATTCAACAGGTATGTTCAGTGTTCAGTGAACAAGGTGTGTCATGTACGTATGTATTTGTTTTCCAGGATTTGTGAGCAACTTCCTTTGTGGTCTATTACATGGTAAATTTTCAGAGATATTCTATATGAAAGAACGTGCATTTCCTTTTTGGTTGGGTGCACAGTTGTATGCGTATGTTAGATCCTACTTGCTAATTGTGCTATATTAGTCTTCTGTATTCTTGTTTTCTGCCTAATTGATCTTTTGGTATCTAAAAGAGATGTGTAAAAGTCCTCCAGAAAGATTGTAGATTAATCCATTTTTCCTCATATTTCTATCACTTTTCATAAAGTTTGAGACTGTGCTATTTTGGCATAAAAGCTAATGACTATTATGACTTCTTGATAATCTGTTTATTTTCAATATGAAATTTCTTTTATTTTGGGAAATAAGTGCCCATAAGCATTGAATTGAAAGCTCTGCAGGAAGGGTAGGGAGCACTAGGAAATGACAAATAGTGGCCTGGAAAATCAAGTGGAAGAAACCTTTCAAAGCACAGAGAAAAAAAGATGCAATTCATGAGGAAAAAATATTAGAGAATTAGAAGACAAACACATATATCCATACACGATAAACCCCAAAGTAACATTCTAGAAATTCCTGAACTCCAAGGATAAAGAGAAAACCTTATGAGCATTCAGACAAAAGACACAATTTGCCTATTAGTGAGATTGGCAACAAGTGTCTCATCTGCAATAGTAGAAGATAGAGTGGCATCCACAGATGAGCAAGAGAAAAGACCTGTAGCCCAACTCTCCTATAACAACCATAGATTTGTGCATATGCATGAATTCAGAAAATATATCTGATTTAAGGAAAAACTCAAGAAAAGATATCCAACAATAAATGAATGTGAACAGAGTACTCAAAATAAGGGTCTATGAAGAAAAGAGGAGAAGAGTAATGAGCAATTAACTTTGAAAAGTAAATGTATTTACATTTAAATTGATAATGACAAACTGTCTGGGGCTATGGAGAATAAGTAAAAATAAGGAACATCGCAATAGAAGAGACATAATGCCAGAGATACTCTAATAACAGTCCTAAACAAAAAGAACTAAAGGTGCTTAGCAATTCCTAGGAGCAGGGGGTTGAGGATAAGAACAAAGTAAAAACATTTCAAAGGCAATGAGAGGAGGCTAGGAGAGGAGAGGAGCAGGGATGAAGAAATATTTTAAAGATCTTATCTTATTGGGAATAAAGAGTGAGGAAATTAAGCATTCAGAAGGGAGAAAGATTGGGCACCATATTTTTGAGAAACAGAGGTCTAAGTGCTAAAAATTGAAAAATATTGTGGGACTTACAAATTAATTAGCAAGAAAGAAATTGTGAACAACCAAGTAAAAATGAATAATATAGTACTGTGGAAGGAATATCAAGAATATGGTCAGTATATAATACTCCTACGAGTACGTTCATGAAAGACTCACCTTCAGATTCAGCTGAAACAAAACCCAGGTACATACTGTCTACAAGAAGAACAGGAAAAAGAGCAAAGGAAGGCCAAGAAATGAAAGAATGGACCAAAAAATGCCAGAAAATACAAATGTTATCAAAACAAGAGAAGGAAAAATTAAATCTGAAAAAAGTGACAGAGTGGTGGCAATATGCATGTAGGATAAATACAGATAAGCTTTTACAAATTGTAAGAACAAATTTCTCATAGAAAAATGTTAAAGAGCAGAAGCAGAAAATTTCACAGAGAAGAAAATGGAAATAGTCTACAATCATTAAACAATGTACAGGCTCCACTAGTTGGGAAAATACAAATTAAACCACCAATGAGACATGAATTTACTCTCATCAGACTGGCAAACATTAAATGGAGCAATAACACTTATTTCTATCGGGGATACATAGAAAGGGGTTTTGTGTCATTGTCGTTTTAACAATAATATAAATAGAAATGGAAACCACTATAGTTTTTCCAGAAAACTGTGTGGCAAATCTGTTAGAATTAGAAATATTCTTTGACCCAGTAATCCTGTTTCTTGGAACATCTCCCACAGGAAAAAGAACTCTAGAAGGTAAGGATATATGTGCAGAGATGTTTATTCCAATAGAGCATGTTGAGGCAAAGAAAGATAATAGGGAAATGGCATATAAAATACAGTATATTCACTATATATAACAGGCAATATTACACCGTTATTAACAAGAACAAATTATAGCTGTATTATTTTGTTGAAGATATTTCCAGGTAGTATTGTTGGCTGAGAAAGGCAAAAACAGAAAAGTGCACAAAATACCATCCCATTAAAACACATGCACATTCAATCCTATAAATGTGTCTTAAGAATATCATCGTATGATATGGCTATATATGTATGGGAGAATTGGAAGTAGCAAACAGAAAAAGAATTTCAAGTCTAGAGAGTTAGACTGGACACAGGTCACAAGGACGGCTTCCCAGAACCTACAAGAAAGATGCACCTAGAATCATCGGTCAGGTCATTTGCAATGTTAAGAAAAAGGGGCAGGGGTGAGGGGTGAAGAAGGGGGATCTCCAAAAAGGGACAGTCTGGAAGCAATTCCTCAGCATTTTAAGTCCTCTGCTATAAAAACAGGAGAATCAACTTGCTTTTGCTTTACAACAGCAACAGAAAATAAGATTATGAATTTCAAATGTGTGAGTTGTGAGGGCACTTACCTCTAGGGCAGATGCCTGATTTTGGTGATTTTGCCCCCTTGAGTGATTTTGCCCCCCCAGGGACATTTGACACTATCTGGAGACACTTTTGATAGTGACAACTGGGAGTGGACCCACCTAGTGGGTAGAGGTCACAAATGATGCAATCTTCCTACAATGCACATAACAGTCCCCACAACAAAGAATGTCAATAGTTCCTAGGTTGAGAAATGTTGCTAGGGTGACCAACCATCCTGGTTTGCCCAGGACTGCAGAGTTTCCTGGGACTGGAGACTTTCAGCACAAAAACCAGGACAGTTCTGGGTTATTGCAAATAAAAATGATAAACAAAAAAATATGGTTGTGGACAGAGCACTTTCTGGCACTCAAGATACTGATCTAGGCTGTGCACGGTGGCTCACACCTGTAATCCCAGCACTTTGGGAGGCCGAGGTGGGTGGATCACTTGAGGTTAGGAGTTCAAGACCAGCCTTAGGAGTTCAAGACCAGCCTGCCCAACATGGTGAAACCCTGTCTCTACTAAAAATACAAAAATTACCCAGGCATGGTGGCTGGTGCCTGTAATCCCAGCAACTCTGGAGGCTGAGGCAGGAGCATCGCTTGAACCCGGGAGGTGGAGGTAGCAATGAGCCAAGTTCGTACCACTGCACTCCAGCCTGGGCAACAGAGCGAGACTCCGTCTCTAAAAAAAAAAATACTGATCTAAATAGAACTCTTATCTCTATGTCTACAGATGTCTTCACAGCTCCTTTAGAAATTAAACTGGTGCCACCTATTTTAAAAGAGTTTACCCCATTTGGAGAGAACTTTCCTTAAATTAAAACTGCAGTTATGATAGTTTCTTCATAATTATTTACTTGGTAAATAAGCATAAAGACTAATCCATAAAGAAATATGCATTTGCCAAAATCAAACTGTATATTTAAAGGAGGATTGCTGAATATAAATTATACCTCAATAAACCTGACTTTAAATGTTCTCCCTATATTTTTAAAATAAGTAATCCCAATTCATAAATTAATCCTAGGTCTAATGTAGGTTTATTTTTTAAATAGACATATAGTTTAGATCACTTACCAGAATACCTAAAGAATAAAAATTATGCTTTAAAAGTTGTATCTGTTTTTCAGGGAAAGTGTTTCTGTGCTGCAGGTAACAAAACACTGAGCTAGATTAATAAGGAGATCTACGTCTCAGAAGTATTGCAACTTCAGTGCAGCAAGTCAGTGGTCTGGTTTGTTCCTGTGAATCTCTTGTGTGTTCATCCTCGGACTGGTAAGAAAATACATGTAACGGTTCCAGGCAATCATTTCTAAAATCACTTTCTTATGAGCAAGCAAAGATTTCCTAGCCCCCAACTGACTTCCCTTCCAATTTTACTCGTCAGAATTAGGCCAGATGCTCATTCTTTTTTGTTATTGTTATTTAATGTGGTAAAAACACATAACATAACTTTATCTTCTTAACAATTTTTTTTTCTGAGACAGTCTTGCTCTGCTGCCCAGGCTGAAGCGCAGTGGCGAGATCATAGCTTACAGTAACCTGGAACTACTGGGCTCAAGGGATCCTCCCAACTCAGCCTCTCAAGTAGCTGGGACTACAGGCGTTTGCCACCATGCCTGGCTATTTTTTATTTATATATTTATTTATTTTTAGTAAAAATGAAGTCTTGCTGTGTTGCCCAGGTTGGTCTCCAACTCCTGGGCTCAAGCGATCCTCCCACCTTGGCCCCCCAAAGTGCTGGATTACAGGGGTGAGCCACTGTGCCTGGCCCTCTTAACATTTTTTAGTGTACAGTTCAGTAATGTTGTGATATGCACATTGTTGTACAACGGATCTCTAGAACGTTTTCCGCACGCATGACTGAAACTCTATACCCATTGAACAACATGGTGTTTTCCCCTCCCCCAGCCCCTGGTAACCATTATTCTACTTTCATTTCCATGAGTTTTATTACTTCAGATACCTCACATAAGTAGGATCATCTAGCACCCATCTTTTTCTGATTGGCTCATTTCACTTACCATAAGGTCCTCAAGGTTCATCCATGCTGTAGCATATGACAGGAATTCTTTCTTTTTTAGGCTAAGATTCCATTGTATGTATATACCACATTTCTTTATCTATTCATTCACTGATGGACATTTGAATCACCTCTACATCTTGGCTGTTGTGAATAATGCTGCATGAACATAGGAGAGCAGATATCTTTTCAAGATCCTGCTTTCAATTCTTTTGGATATATATGCAGTAGGAGATGACTGGATCATATGGGAATTCTAATTGCAGTTTTTTTAGGAACCTCCATACTATTTTCCATAGTGGCTGCCCATTTTATAATCCCATCAACAGTGTGCAGGTGTTTCCTTACCAACACTTATTTTCTGTTTTTTTGAAAGTAGCCATCCTAACATCATACGGGGTCTGAAATGATATCTCATTGTGCTATTGTGGTTTTGATTTGCATTTCCCTTGATGATTAGTGATGTTGAGCATCTTTTCACATGTGTGGTGGCCATCTTCATTGGAGAAATGTCTATTTAAATTCTGTGTCCATTTTTAGATTGGGGTGTTTTTGTTATCAAGTTGTAGGAATTCTTTATATATTCTGGATATTACTTTCATCTCTGGTATATGGTTTCATATTTTCTCCCATTCTGAGTAGGTTGCCTTTTCAATCTGTTTGTTGATTGTCATGCTCGTTATTAAGTTAATCACCAGCAACGGGGATGGGATTATTAGTTCTGGGAAAAAAAATCTTCTGGGTGGAATGGTTGTCAGGAAATCCATCACTTTGGCAATAACGGACCCATGTGCCTTAATTTGGTATTTCACCTCAATTTTATATTGAGAGAAGAGTTCAGGTTGTTTCAAAGAGACGTATGTAGACAGCTGTGATGTGAATGACAGAACATTGGACAGAGCTTCAGACACCTGTGTTCTTTTTAGGACTCTTAGAAACTGCTAGCAGTGTGACCTTGTTCAATTATTTAACCTTTTGAAACTTTATCTGTAAAATCAAATAGCAGTTTACTAATTCCAGCCTAAATCATGATGGTTTTTAAAAGTAGGGTGTATGAACCTTTCTAAAGTGTGGCATCAAACCGCTGGTTAGGTAGTTGTGGTCAGGTATGAATATGCGTGGATATAGGTTTGTAGGCGAGGGTGGGTATGTATGGGTGAAGGTGTGCATGTATATGCAGGATTGTAGAAGGGGGTAGGTGAGGGTGGGTAGGGCAGAGGTGTCTCTGTGTGCGTGCATGTGTGTGGGACTATAGATAAAGGTTGGTATGGGCGTGTGAGGGTAAGGCTCAGTGTGGGAATGCAGAAGTATAAGAAGAATGAGTACTGAGGGCAGGTTGTACACGTGAATGTGGGTGGATACCAGATTGTAGGTGATGGTGGATGCAAGTAGGGCAAGAGGGAAAGGGTGTGTGTGTGTGTGTGTGTGTGTGTGTGTGTGCGTGTGTGTGTGTTTTGGGTTATAAGTGAGAGGGTGGTGGGGCAAAGCACAGAGTAGGCCAATGACAGGATTATTCTATCAAAAACATTCTCCATTTTACTGATTTATATTTTACACGTAGGATATAAACCCACTGTTAGAGATGTTGCAAATATTTTTTCTAGTCTGTCATTTATCTTTTAATTGTGTTAAGGGCAGAACTGTGTTAATGTAACAAATCTTATTTATTTGTTTCAATTAATAGTACTCCTCTTTTAATGTTCAATGTAAAAAATACTACAAATTACACATACGGAATAATAAAGAAAAATTGCACATAAACTCAAAACCCAGTGATAATCTTAACAACTCAGTCTACAATTCAAGTCTATAGAGGAAGATACATGCAATGATGTCATTGCACATAACTGTGTACCTCTCTATGTATGGACCTAAATGCTCTAATATTCTACTGATGATAGGATAAATCAGTTACTAACTTCCTGGGAGGCGATTTGCAATAGCTATCCAGAATTTCTCAAAAACCTTAATCTCAAAAACAGTAAATCTAGTTTTAAGAATATGTCCAAGAAAGCAATTCAAGATGTGAGCAAAATTTAAACTATGATCTTTTTATTTCAGCATTGTGTGTAATAATAAAAATTTAGTTAAAATCTAAATAATTTGGTATTGATTAACTAAAGTGTAAAAGGCTCATATGATTGAATACTCTGCAGCCATAAAAATAGTATGGACAAAGAATATATAATGAAATTAAAATATACTTACATTTTGCAGTATTTATGTTTTAGTCAAATTACTTTCAGTAATAAGCAGTCTTCTGCACCCAGTGAATAGGAGTTTTAATGAGGCATGATGGTGATATTAAAGCTCAAGGGCTTTTCAAAGAAAGCTGAACTGGAAACAGGGACTTTGGACAGTCACAGAGTCACAGGAGGAACATTTAAGCACTTGCGATAGCTGCTTCCAGAACCTGGAAGATAGGAGCATGTGAAGGGCCTAAAGATTATCTTTTGAAATTTTTCCTAAATTACCTTTTGAAATACTTCCTAGATGTGCTTGAAAATCTCTATCCACAGCCTGAAGCCAAGATATATTTCCCTAAGTCACTGAGTTCAAATGACACTTTCTTGCCCTTTAGTGGTGTGCTGGTAAATGTTTAACAAGTAGCTTTCCAAGATGGGGCAGGGTGGGACCTTATATGTACGTATATATGTACGTAAGGTAATTGTAAATTTAACTGACATAAAGGGTGTTGTCTTAGTTCAGGCTGCTATAATAAAATGTCATAAACCAGGTGGCTTATACACAACAGAAATTTATTTCTCAAAGTCTGAAAGCTGCAGAATCCAAGATCAAGGCAGATTCAGTGTCTGGTGAAGACCCGCTTTCTGGTTCATAGATGGCATCTTCTAGCTGTGTCCTCATATGATGAAAGGACAAGGCTGCTCTCTGGGGCACTAGTCCATTCGTGAGAACTCCACTAATTTACATTTCCCTGATGATTAGTGATGTTGAGCATTTTAAACTATACCCATTTGGCCATTTGTATGTCTTCTTTCGAGAAGTGTCTATTCATGTCTTTTGCCTACTTTTTAATGAGATTATTTGTTTTTTTCTTGTTGAATAGTTTGAGTTCCTTGTATATTCTGGATATTAGTCCCATGTTGGATGAATAATTTTTGTAAATATTTTCTCCCATTCAACAAGTTGTCTCATTACTCTGTTGATTGTTTCCTTTGCTGAAAGTTTGACTATAACATGTCATGAAGAAGATTCTCTTGAATTGTATCTATTTGGGGATTTCTGAACTTTTTGTATCTGGATATCTAAATCTGTTGCTAGACTTGGGAAGTTTTCAGCTATTATTTCATTAAATAGGTTTTCTATTCCTTTGGTCCTCTCTTCACCTTCTGGAACACTGAAAACTTGAATATTTGATCACTTTATGGTGTCCCTTATGCTCTGTTCATTCTTTTTATTTTTTTCTTTATTTTTGTCTGACTGGATTATTTCAAAAGATCTGTTTTCAAGTTCTGAAGGTCTTTTTTCTGCTTGATATAATCCATTGTTGAAGCTCTTGAATGTACTTTTTACTTCATTCAATAAAATAAAATCCAGGATTTCTGTTTGGTTACCATGATATCTCTCTTTGGTAAACTTTTCACTCATGTCCCTAATTATTTCCCTGATTTCATTATATTGTTTATTTGGGTCTTCTTATGTCTCACTGAACTTCTCTAGTATCATTATTTTGAATTATTTTTCAAGGATTTTTATAAATTTCTTTCTCATTGAAATCTGTTGCTGGATAATTAGTGTGTTTCTTTGTAGATGTCATATTTCTGGGAAAATATTTCCTTAACTGTTCATGCAATTCACAATGTAAAGGCTGTAGATACAACACACTTTTTAAAATTTTTTTTTTTGAGATGGAGTCTTGCTCTGCCGCCCGGGCTGGAGTGCAGTGGTGCAATCTTGGCTCACTGCAACCTCCGCCTCCCGGGTTCATGCCATTCTCCTGCCTCAGCCTCCCAAGTAGCTGGGACTACAGGCGCCCGCCACCATGCCCAGCTAATTTTTTGTATTTTTAGTAGAGATGGGATTTCACCGTGTTAGCCAGGATGGTCTTGATCTCCTGACCTCGTGATTCGCCCGTCTCGGCTTCCCAAAGTGCTGGGATTACAGGTGTGAGCCACCGTGCCCGGCCACAACACACTTTTAACTTTAAACCTTATTAACATATTCTCCAAAATGCCACCTCCAAATCTAGAGTACACAATTAAAAAAAAAATAAATAAATAAATAAAAATAAATGAGTCTTTTGTTTGTAGTGCAAACTGATTTCCAGGGTGTAAATATTCCCAACATAGTGGAATAAACTACTAACTTTTCGCAAATTCAAACTACTAACATGGTATGACTGAGTCTGGAATTGAGAATTAACATCCAACAGCACAAAATTACATACTACCCATATAGAAAAATCATTAAAAATTGATGCATTTGGAGTATTTATTATCTTGATTTTCAGTAAGTTAAAAAATTTCTAATTATACGATTGGCAGTGTTTAAAAATAGGCTGGAAAAGGCCAGGCACCGTGGCTCACGCCTGTAATCCCAGCACTTTGGGAGGCCGAGGTGGGTGGATCATGAGGTCAGGAGTTCAAGACCAGCCTGGCCAAGATGGTGAAACCCTGTCTCTACTAAAAACACGAAAATTAGCTGGGCGTGGTGGGAAGTGCCTGCAATCCCGGCTATTCAGGAGGCTGAGGCAGAGAATTGCCTGAACTGGGGAGGCAGAGGTCGCAGTGAGCTGAGATTGCGCCACTGCACTCCAGCCTAGGAGACAGGGCGAGACTCTCTCAAAAAAAAAAAAAAAAAGGCTGGAAAAATGCCTGAAAATAGGCTCACTGGCCAGTATGAGCCAGCTCCCACATATGACTGTTCCAACACAAAGCCCTGCAGGTCTTCAGAATTCTCAGACAGAGATAATAATCCTGAAGGAATGTCAAATATTTACCTGTATGTGTGTTTAATACTGTTGTTATTGGTTCCTAGCTGCCTTAGATAGGTCATTCTTTGTAACAATGAAATAAACATATTTCATAGAGGGCCTCTATAGGGCTAATTGGAAATCTGCCTACACTGTTGAGTAATGTTTATAGTTGGTTACTGATTTCCAGAGGTCAAGAGGGCAATGTGATTCATCTGCTATTACAGTTTATACTTCTTGATTCTTCTATTTGGCCACTCTGCAAGAAGGCAATCCTCTAAGGATCACCAGCTTCTACCTATAAGACTTCAACTCAAGATGCAGGCAAGTAAATGATATGTATATAATATTAGACTATTCCATGCAGCTCCAATGTTCTAATTCTACTAATCAGGAATAAGAAAGTTCCTAATCTTTGTAGTTCTACTGATCCATGGGTTTCCAAGCTGAGAATCAATTAATCCAGGTTCCTTTCTCAGCTTTGCCACTGATTTCCCAGCTATGGAAAAGAGGCAAGTAACTACTGAAAAATAATTATATAAAGTAAGAGATATCTTATTTTAATTAAGAAGCTCCCAATTTACATGTAGCTGACTTATATATATGCTTCATGGAATTTTGGCATTCTGGAAATATCTACTGTACCTAGGCACCTAGGACTCAAGAACAGTCATTCTTCCTTCCCCAGAGCTGCAATATGAATAATTGGGAATTTTTCTTCCCAAATTCCCTCCTCTCCCAGCTTATTGAACAGATGGAGATTGTATTATCTTCCCCTCCTCTCTCCACAAGTCTGGCTTCTCTATTTATCTCTGGTTCTGTGTAAACTTTGCGACATCAAGATTGGCTGGATAAAGGGACTGAGATGCGAATGGGGATGGGCAATAACCAAGCCCTAGGTGCTCTTGGGTTCCTACCCTGCTCTACCCCGGCTCCAGGACTGCTTCTCTTTAGGAGAACAATGAAGGCTTTAAAGAACTTTCGAGGGCTTGCCTGAGAACCAGTCATAAAGTGACCTTTATGAAAAAATAGACCTAGGTTGCAAAAATTAGCTTTTAGAATTAACACCCCCATAATATACTAGTCCAATGTTCTTAGGAAGAGTCATCCTAAGAGAACACTGGTGCTGAACACAGGTGATTTTCTACCTGAGCATACAGGTCCAGTATTCAATATTCTGCTTTCTATGTGGTCCCAGACATGGTAATGGTCACAAGTAAAAGATGTAGAGACTTGATAATCAGTACAAGCCTCAGACAAAAACTAATTACAGCCAGTTCTTGCATTCATTTCTTGACCTCCCTTTAGCTACCCCTTTAGCCATGCATATTTACATCTTGTTCATCAAAAAATAATTATCTGCACTAAAATGAACTCTTATCATTGATAGTAATAGCATTACCTAGATGTACATTATTTTAGACAATTGCTTTAAATTTAATATTCTGATTTCTGAAACACATTCTGTTCAGGAAAAGAAAAAACAATGTCTCCAAATTCTTGATCCAATAGAAATTGCATAATCTTAAAAGGAAGAGTCCTGAGAGAATAGCGTGAGGTTGAGAAAAGATCTGAAGTGACAAGATAAGCAATTAATACTGGAATTGCTATTAGTCTGGTAACCTTCAGCAAGTCAGAGTCTCAGTTTCCTCATCTTGTAAAGTAGAAATAATCTAACTGGCATGGCTGGGTAAAGTTTAAGTAGGCCATCAGAAAATACTTTGTAGTCCATAGAGCATTAACTCATCCAGGCCCCTACTCAAAGTACAAAACTGCCCTTTAGCATCACTGACAGCCTCTTCTTGATCACTTCTAGTGATGGGGAACTCATCTTTGGAAGGTCATTTTTGACAGCCCTAATGATAAGAAAGTATATATATAAAGTGTGTGTGTGTTTGTAAAAATACACACATATATTTACATATGTACAATGATATACATACATACACATATATGTATATAGGCATATATATTTAGCCATAATAAATTCCTCCAACATCAGCTTCCTGGTTAATCCTGATCATCAACTCCAGCTCAGAGCTTCATTAAGGGAAGGAACAGGTCAGTGAGAATCTATTCTGTAGGAACAGGAACATGGGAACGTTTGTCACAGAGCTGATGACTGCCCTTGCTGTGTTTTGTTAATAACTGATTTATCTTGCTTATCATGCCTATTCCAGGCAAGTAGAATGAGTTTGCTTTCTCTGAGTTCCAGGGAGGAGGAAGCCAACACAGATGAAAGGGTCCCTGTGCTGTTCAAGAGGGTAGCACTAGCCACACAGCTATTCCATTTTAAATTAAACTAAATTAAAATTTTAGTTCCTCATTTCACAGGCTCAATAGCCATATGTGATTAGTTATTGTGTGGCATAGTTATCAAACATTTCTATTGTAGCAGAAGTTGTTTGAAGAGCTGTGGTTGATGATTCATTACCATCTACAATATGCCAGGGACCAGTTAAACTCTACATGCAAGCACTAAAACATCAATAGTGGAAGTTTTCTATCCCTTGAAAAAATTACATAATAGCATGATTAACTGAGCTCTTACTCCGGACAGTTCAAGAAAAAGGGTGGCTTTTATTCCCAAATGAACATCATAGGCTTCACACTCTTTCCCAACAATCTTAAGAAAGTGGAGATACTATTAATTGGTTACCTATGTTGTTATCAAATGCTCATTTCCACTTACATTTGGAGATCTGAGCTTCTCTCTAAGGCAGAGGTCTTTAAATCATGAGGTGCCACACCCAGATCAGAACTAAACAAAAATTGAAACTTTAAATTGGCAAATGTCATTGCTCATTTCTTCCTAACAAGTGAAGACCTATGGTTAATTCAACTGCAGGTATGGTGAAATAACTACAGTTACTTAGTTAGACACTATTTCTTTCACCACTTATCTGAGCGAAGAAGTCCAGGTTGGATACTATATGTAGAGCTTTATATTAACTTTTCTCCAGGAATAAGAAAGTGTCCACACTGCCGTTTGTCTTGAAAACATAATTAGGGAAGGTGTACCACAAAAGAATGGGATTCTCTCTGAGAGCATGTTTATCTACTGTCACAGCTTTAATTGGGAAGGGTGAAATATCTACATCTGGCTAGGTCTGCTCTTCAAGAGCTGGGGCCAGATATTTGCCATCTCTCAGCCTTGGTCTTTTCTTCTGTAAACAGCAGGATTGGAGTATATGATCAGAAAGGTTTCTGTAATTCCAATGACTTCCCAAAATAACCATGACCTGCATCCTATCTATAAACCTCACATAGTTCTCTCCCTAACCCATGCTGTTGTCACAACCCTCCTACAGTCTTTTTTTTAGGACTTAGTAAATCGTTCTGACAAATAACTGTATTCTACCCATAGGCTTTATCTTACAGTCAGCAAATCATTTGCTAAAGTGCTAAACTGCCAGAGTCATAAGCCCGCATTCTGGAGGGGCTTCCAGCAGTGGTTGGTAAACTACTGCCCAAAGGCCAAATCTGACCCACCTCCTATTTCTGTACATCCAAGAGCTCAGAATAATATTTACATTTTTAAATGGTTGGAAAAATAAAATTAAGCATAATATTTCATGTCATATGAAATTCAAATTTCAGTGTCTATAAATAAAGTTGCATTGGAACCCAGCGACATCCATTCATTTATCTATTGTCTATGGATACTTGTGGCCTACACAGCAGAGTTGAGTGGTATTTGGCCATACCACTATGACTACATAGTCTACATACCACTATGTATGTAGACTCTCTCATACAGAGACTGTATGGCCCACAGGCCTAAAATATTTACTACCTGGCCCTTTACCTGCCCCTGGGTGTAGAGCACAGACTCTAGAGTCAGATGGCTTGGCAGCATAGCTCAGCTCTGTTCTGTTCCTTCCCCTTCCTCAAAACTGTATAATAGGAATGACAATAGTACCTATCCCATGGGTTTTTATTAAGATTAAGCAAATAAGTAAAATGCGATGAGGATCTGGCATATTTTTATTATTATATATATGTCTGATGGTATTATAAGTTGCCACAATTTTTTCCAGCAAACTAAAGTATTAGCAGCTGACCAATTTGTTAGCAATAATTGTAAGAATTGAATTTGCAACACTCCATTAAAATTCAATTCTTTGTCAGATGAGTAGGTAGCGAAAATTTTCTCCCATTTTGTAGGTTGCCTGTTCACTCTGATGGTAGTTTCTTTTGCTGTGCAGAAGCTCTTTAGTTTAATTAGATCCCATTTGTCAATTTTGTCTTTTGTTGCCATTGCTTTTGGTGTTTTGGACATGAAGTCCTTGCCCATGCCTATGTCCTGAATGGTAATGCCTAGGTTTTCTTCTAGGGTTTTTATGGTTTTAGGTCTAACGTTTAAATCTTTAATCCATCTTGAATTGATTTTTGTATAAGGTGTAAGGAAGGGATCCAGTTTTAGCTTCCTACATATGGCTAGCCTGTTTTCCCAGCACCATTTATTAAATAGGGAATCCTTTCCCCATTTCTTCTTTTTGTCAGGTTTGTCAAAGATCAGATAGTTGTAGGTATGCGGCGTTATTTCTGAGGGCTTTGTTCTGTTCCATTGATCTATATCTCTGTTTTGGTACCAGTACCATGCTGTTTTGGTTACTGTAGCCTTGTAGTATAGTTTGAGGGCTAATATCCAGAATCTACAGTGAACTCAAACAAATTTACAAGAAAAAAACAAACAACCCCATCAAAAAGTGGGCGAAGGACATGAACAGACACTTCTCAAAAGAAGACATTTATGCAGCCAAAAAACACATGAAAAAATGCTCATCATCACTGGCCATCAGAGAAATGCAAATCAAAACCACTATGAGATACCATCTCACACCAGTTAGAATGGCAATCATTAAAAAGTCAGGAAACAACAGGTGCTGGAGAGGATGTGGAGAAATAGGAACACTTTTACACTGTTGGTGGGACTGTAAACTAGTTCAACCATTGTGGAAGTCAGTGTGGCGATTCCTCAGGGATCTAGAACTAGAATTACCATTTGACCCGCCATCCCATTACTGGGTATATACCCAAAGGACTATAAATCATGCTGCTATAAAGACACATGCACACGTATGTTTATTGCGGCATTATTCACAATAGCAAAGACTTGGAACCAACCCAAATGTCCAACAATGATAGACTGGATTAAGAAAATGTGGCACATATACACCATGGAATACTATGCAGCCATAAAAAATGATGAGTTCATGTCCTTTGTAGGGACATGGATGAAATTGGAAATCATCATTCTCAGTAAACTATCGCAAGACCAAAAAACCAAACACCGCATATTCTCACTCATAGGTGGGAACTGAACGATGAGATCACATGGACACAGGAAGGGGAATATCACACTCTAGGGACTGTGGTGGGGTGGGGGGAGGGGAGAGGGATAGCATTGGGAGATATACCTAATGCTAGATGACGAGTTAGTGGGTGCAGCGCACCAGCATGGCACATGTATACATATGTAACCAACCTGCACAATGTTCACATGTACCCTAAAACTTAAAGTGTAATTAAAAAAAAAATTCAATTCTTTAGCAGTAAAGCAGTGGGAAGATGTCTAAGGACAACTGATATGCCAATTCGTATAGCCGTTTATCCACGAAGCTAATTCTGCAGTACTTAAAAATATTTTATATGCTTTATACTTCTTTCAAACTTGAGTCTTGAGCTTGTACTCAACATCGAGTTCGGCCCTGACATCTACTCTTTATAGTCGGTTACCTCTTTCTGAAGAAACAGGCTTCCAAAGAGAGACCAGGGGACTCATTAGATGTCTCATCTACCTTGATGATTGCTACCTTGATGATTGAAAACAGTAACCTGCTTCCTGAATCAAACACAAAACAGGCAACATGCAGTGTCTTTGCTATGCCACAACAGGGACTATTAGAATTTTTCTCACAATTCGGACTTTGGTTTTCAAAAGGGCTTGCGAGGGAAGTTACACACAAGAGAAAAACAATGAACCGAATGAGGACAATAGCCCACGAATTTAGAATGGAGGAAGCCCGTCCACCACAGCGAAAAAGCACAGTACCACATTGGCGGGTGCTCCAATATTTGTGAAATGTTGATGACCCTTTAAATGTTTCTGTGCAACCTCCACAACAAATACTGTGAATCTTGCTTATTAATGCGTTTCTCAATACGTTAAAATTCAGGAAATCATTAAGTCTAGTCCTTAACAGTGAAGGGCAAGCAATTTTCTGTCATTGAAATTACACAAAACAAAACAAAAAGCTCACGCCTGAATTGCTTCGGACTATTCAACTGGAAGATAGAAAAATATATGAAGTAAAGAAGAATAACCTACATAGAAGTTCCTATCTCTTATCTTCCTGAATACTTACCAGTACACTATTAGTTTGTTCTAAACTTTTCTTATATAAAAAGTAGCTGAATACTTTTAGGGAAATGGATTGTTTTGTCTGAATCATCCAGATAATTCAAACAATTCATTTTCCTAAGAACGATATGTGTGAGTCTGTCCTGCCCGGAAAATGCCCTCTGTCCTACTCAGGACACAAGTCACGCTCAGCTTAAACAGGCAAGGAATTGTCCCCTAGGAAGGAAATACGCCGTTGTCGTTCAGTGAACTCTGCAACCAACAGCAAGCCAAACTCTCCCTTGCACACAGTTCGTCAAGTTAATTCTTATTTTCCAAGGGCGCTTTCGTATTTCCATCTTTCAAAGACTCCTTCACCCACTGGCACCTAAGGCTTGCCCTAACGCATCCAGCCCCTGCCTCGCGATGGTGCGCTCCGCTTATAATAGCTCCGTCCTGTCCAATAAAGTTGTTTAAAATAAGAAATGTGCCAGATAATAGCCAAGTCCGAAGGAAAAAAAAAAAAAAAGAATTCCTGGGGTGGTGTATTGGTGTTGGAATGTGCCATTAGTTTTGGAGGGAGGAAAGTCCCTGGTGTGAATTGCCTCGCAGGTCGTAGGCCGCCACTGGACCTTCAGTCGTGCACTGCATTAGCGCCGTAATGGCAAAGATACGAAGAAGCGCGCAGGCAGGGGAGCCACGGCCGCGCGCACAGGCAAGAGCTGGAGACGACTGCGGAGCGCGTCCCCCACGCCCGCGTGGTGCGCTCTGGGGCGGCCCCCTAGCGGCAGGGCGGGGCGGGGCAGGGGGCGGAGAGGCCTGGCGCACAGGGCGAGGGCGGCTGCGGCGCAGTCTGCAGCATGGCGTACCCGGGGCATCCTGGCGCCGGCGGCGGGTACTACCCAGGCGGGGTAAGTGCTGACTGCGCGGGATCGCGGCCCAGGCGGCTCCGGGGCGCTAAGAGGCCACCTTGGAGATGCTGCGGCCAGCGGGGTGAGGCGCTGCTGGGCGGCTACCCGGGCTCCTTCCGCCCTCGGCTTCTCCCTGCGCTCGCGGCCTCGCCCTAGGCCCCTGGGGTTCGGCCTCTCCCCACGTTTCCCCGTCCCTTCTCCTGGATGGCCCTGCGGGGCCAAGGTGAGGGTGGATTGGGACCCTAGAAGCCCACCCTGCGGCTTCTCGGATACGCGGCGTGAAATCGTGTTAATTGGGTGTTGGCTGACCCCCACCCCACCCCACCCCCGCCTTCTTGGTTGCCTCCCAGAGCAACAACAGTCATTTTATTCTAGAATGATATACCTTCCTCCCTTTAAAAAACAAACAAACAAACAAACAAACAAACAAACAAAAAACGAGTGAGAAGGGGGACGGAAAAAAAGGGAAAACCTGCTGAAGTAAAAGACCTGTAGGAAGGCAGCCTCGCCGGGCGTCTGGGATGCGCGTTGTCTTGGGAACTGTTTCCGAGACAGGCAATGTTCCCTCGCCACCCACGAGATACAGCCCGGCCGGACACCTTACTCTTCCCTAGGCTACACCCGTCTCAGAATGTTACCAACTCCAGCCTTCCATCGTTCATAAAACGCTCTTAAAATACCATAAATGCTGTAACAACAAAAGGAGAATTTGAAGCCCTGCCATTCGTTGGCTTACCTAGTTTGCACTCACCTCAGTAACCTTCAGGTTAATAGGGATTTTAAAAGTTGCTTTACATATGTAGACATCACTTTCACAGCAACTCTTTATGGTCTAAGTCGCCAGTTTTTAAATTACGGGGTGTGAATGGAAGAGAGGGGTGGAGTGTTGGCAGAGTGTGCCCGGTGGTGGGGAGGTGAGCCTTGTGAAGGGCGGGCAGGCGGGCAGTTGTCTGGCCTTGCACAAAAGCCCTCAGTGGTGAAAGAAGAAAACTTGATTCGGCAGAATGACGTGTATGTGTTTCCTGTTTCACAGTATGGAGGGGCTCCCGGAGGGCCTGCGTTTCCCGGACAAACTCAGGATCCGCTGTATGGTTACTTTGCTGCTGTAGCTGGACAGGTTAGCTTTTCCCTTTAATATTAAAGAGCCGTTATTGTCTGCATTTGTGGTAGCTTTTGATATAGTGACACAGAAAAGCGAACTTCCTGTGGTACTGAGTCCCTTTGCTTCTGCAAAAGAAAAAAAAAGTTGTTTCTTATTTTAGTTTTTTATTTCTGAATGTTCAGAATAAATGAGGACAAAGTGTTACTCGTATTTATGTGAGTTCAGTTCGAAAGCAAACTTGTGGTTGAATTAAAGGGTCCAGGATGGTTTCAAGCGAAAAAATTCAAGATCTGGTAAATATAAACGCTTGTTTGTACAACTTAAAGACATATATTAGTAATTACATAGCTCGATTCTAATGGGCACTTTCTTTGGGTTGAACTTGATTGCTAATCATTCACCCCCTTAGGAAATATGGTAAAAACCCACCAGCTTCTAAATAAGGAAGTTACTGTTCCCTTCTTAGTATCAGAAAGTTAATCTTGTGAACAGTGTAGTTTCTCTTTGATGCAGATGCTGTTACTAGGTCAGCCCCTCCATGTCCTTATTAGGTGTTCTGGCCTGTTGACCCAGAGAAGCAATTAAGGTCAGCTCCCCAAGACCTTTCACTTGTCTGCATTCTGAGTTGTATGACAGGTGCTATCTTACATTGACAGGTGCTATCTTACATTGAGAGAGGACACTTCCCTAGTTCATGAGGTCACTGTGTGCAGTAAATATACTGTTGGTATAACCCAGACACGTCCAGAGGAGATGTTTGTTCTTATGAATTCAACCTAGTTTTGTTTTGACCAAAAGCTAGAAATAGCAAAATCTTAATGTGAAAACTGTAGAATATTATGGGATAAAAAACCTAAGACCACTTTTAAGGTAGTACTCTAAGAAATACAGCTTAAGAAATTGAATGGAAAATATAGTCTAAAACTGGAAGACCTTCCCCTTAAGTATCTACTTAAACTGTTAATGATCTGTATCTTTGAAACCACAAGGCATGGCAAACCTCAAGACTAGCATTCTTAGATTGCCAGTGCCTCCAGCATGTAAGTGACTCCACCTGCTTAGCTTTCAGCAGCCCTGGCCTGTATTCAGCATACCCATTGTCTTTCAAATTGCTGATCTTGCTCCTCATTTATAACTTATAATACCCAGTGACTTGAAGATTTAGGTATTTTATTTTAAAGTCCCTAAAAATCACATATATCTAGTTCTTTCCCAGTTCAGCCAGTGAATGGGCACTGGGAACCTAATGTGAATCTTCCAGATGTATTTGTGCTCTGAAAAAAATGATTCACTATATCATAAGAAAAAGTGACCAAGGAGGCCTTTTTCTGTTTGAACCAAGCCTTCTATTTATTGATGTCTGCTTTGTACCTTGCTCTCTCCACCCCCATCAAAAAAAAATATTTTAAAATGTTTAGCTGTAGCAGTTTGCTAGCTCAGATTGAGAGAAGAGTAGTTGCCAAGACAGACTCTTTCTTTCATCATTAAATTACTTTTGGAAGTGGGTTAAGGAAAAGAATGCCCACTTTTGGAAGGCATTCCTTTTAATAAAAAAAAGGCATTCCTTTTAAATAAAAAAAAGATACTGATTTTCTTTGTTGTTATTGCTTCATTGAATGCTGAAGGTAAACAACTTGAAAGTACAAATCACTATTATGATTCCTCTAATTTTTTTTCAAAAGGATGGGCAGATAGATGCTGATGAATTGCAGAGATGTCTGACACAGTCTGGCATTGCTGGAGGATACAAACGTAAGTTGACAGTCCCAAAGTTTGTCTAAATATACTCTTGTGTTTCCTATCTTAGCTGTTACTTGTGATTACAGCCTTCAAGAAAACTGAGCTTGTCGGATCTAGCAAAGTTTAGAATTCCGAAAGCTAAAATACAGTACTATTTCAAAATGTTGATTTGAAAACAGTTTTTAAATCACTCCAGGCTGGGCACAGTGGCTCACACCTGTAATCCCAGTACTTCAGAGGCCCAGGCAGGAGGATCGCTTGAAGCCAAGAGTTTTTGGCTGCAGTAATCTATGATTGTACCACTGCACTCCAGCCTGAGCAACAGAGCAAGACCTTGTCTTTAAAATAATAATAATAATAAATTATTCCATCCTACCTGCCAATCTAGTGGATTTCTCAGATTTGGGTTTTGTGTACCTAGAACCAGTGAGACAGTTTGGGTGGCCTCCTTCACAGAGGACAAGGTAGGGTGCTGAAATGGAATCTGCCAGGTCAGGGGTCATTAACTGACATTAGGAACTGATATTTACTGTTATTTGCCAAGAGCCTACTCTGCCCTGACCTGGTGGCACTTAGGGCTTTGAGTTGCTGCCCTGCACCCCTGGTCCCTGAGTGGCCTATCCTGCACTCCTGGTCTCTGAGCTTTGGGCATGCTCCTGCTAACATAAGTGGTTGCCATGACATCCCTCAGGTCTTTCCTCTTCCACTTCATAGAATGTATTCAGGCTAAGTGGGAAGTGGCCTTTCTACTTACTGGACCTGCTGCTCCATAATTCAGCCCTTACCCTACCCCTGCCTTTTGAACACTCTGCCATGAGCTGAGAGTAATGAAATACTGCAAAGATGCTCCATCCCTGGCAGGGCACAGTGGCTCACACCTGTAATCCCAGCACTTTAGGAGACTGAGGTGGGAGGATTGCTTGAGCCCGGGAGTTCAAGACTAGCCTGGGCAACATAGTGAAACCTTGTCTCTGCAAAAAATTTAAAAATTAGCCAGGCATGGTGGCATGCACCTGTGGTCCCAGCTACTCAGGAGGCTGAGGTGGGAGGATTATACAAGCCCAGGAGGCGGAGGTTGCAGTGAGCCAAGATTGTGCCACTGCACTCCAGCCTGGGTGACAGCCTGTCTCAGAAAATCCAAAAAATTGCTGCATCCCAACTGGGGGCTTCTCATCATCCAACACATATGAAGTGGTTCCTCTTGAAATTAGATCTTGAACATGATAGATTTCCAGGGTAGAGAATAATGTCTTAGTTCAAATACATTACCAACTTCTTTGCCAGTTGTTAATTGAGACAAAACATCAAATTGAAGACCCAATTTCATGGTTAGCTGTGGATTAAAATGTTCAAACTAGAATTCACAGCTGTGAATTTATAGTGGCCTTTTTTTAAAAACTATTTGACATGGCATGTATTAGATGGCTGTCTTTGAACTCTTTGCATTTGTTTTCATTATCCTTTGTTTTATGTGACTTTAGTATCCTATTACTCTTTCCTAATTAGAGGAATTAATACAAACGAAGAACCTTTCAAGTTCCTGTTATTTAATCTAGTCCTAAACAAAATAAGCACTTTTTGGATTAGGGGATGTTATTCTTTACTGTGTAGGCAGTACATTTAAATTGTTAATTGTTACGCAATTGAGCTGGTAAACAAGGTAGGCCTGCCTATTAGCAGGGTTTATCAAAGTGCAGTGAGATCACAGCATGGCCTGTTATTCTACATCCTTTCAGTAGATGAGGTGTGGCAGATTTTAGAATCTGACTAACAAAATGGGTTGTATATTGTTAGAGAGCAGTCCTTTTAAAATTTCATTGAGAAAGCCACATTTAGTGATGGCCTTAGATCAATGCATTAAAGAGAAAGCATTTCCTGAATCATGGGGCCTATGTGATTGAATCCATTTGCCTACTCTCTGGTGGCCGTACTGAACCACAGAACCATCCTGCCTATGAGGTGTCAGTGTTTTGTAATGCAGATATTATATGGCCATTAGTCTTTTAAACCCAACTTCCAAACCAAAAAGCACAGGTCCGAATTGGATGAGCAGGTGGGATACTCCAGCTCAGAGCCTATGGGCCCTTCTTAACCAGTTTAAAAGGAAGCAGTCATACCTAGAGGTGGAGTTGGTGAGAGAAGTTGTGTTCCAGTCAGTAAGATTGTAATTCAGCTTCTCTTTTTTCCCTGAATTTAGTTGTTCGTCTGTGATAAGGTTGAGAGAAACAGCTGGAGGTAGGGCTTTCCTTCTAGGTCCATTATATTGTATGTTTCTGTGAGAAGAAAAGATGTTTGAGGCATTCTAGTAGAATGAACAGAAGAGAAGAAAAAGAGTAAAGGTAAATTACAGCAGAGATTCTTTGGAAATTATTAAAATTAACATTATTTAATTTAAATAATTTCAAAATGTTGAATTAATAATTTTAATTATAATTTATAGTTATAATTATATGTAGTTACATTTACGTAACTAATATATAATACTTATAATTTTAATTAATTTTAAATAATTATTTAAAATAGAATTAACACTAATAAAAGCTATATTATTAACAAAATTGAGAAAGAGTTTTCCTTACCAAAACTTATTGGACATCAGCGTTCTAGTTCATTGGAACTGTCTAGAATGGTGTATTTTTTGTTCATTCACTTTTGTTCACTGCCATCTCACTGCCCTTTCAGATCCTTCTCACAAAAGATGACCAGATTCCTGATCTTCCTGATCTGTCCCTCTCCTCCTCAGTCTTTACTAACAGCTTAGAAGGAATTCAAGGTCCTCTGTAATGCACCCTCCCCTGACCAAACATATTTTCTCCCACTCCTTTTGTACTCTTTGAAAGTCATATTGAGCTATTCACTTACGCTTTGCCTGTCCTAGGCCTTCTACTTCTCTCTTTGCTTATGCTGGTCCTTAGCTGTCACCAAATGCCCCCATCATTCTTGTCATTCAAGGCTTGGCTTAAATTCTTTGTCTTCTATAAAGTCTTTCTTGATTCTCTTACTGGGAAGGAGCTTCTCACTTCTCAATCCCTTCTGGTACTTTCTGGCCCCTCCATTATAATTCAGCACTCTACCATGATTAGGGTTATATGTGTATGTGACTTATCTTTTCCTTAGACTGTCAGCTAGGACGGTATGCAGTTTCACAACTGTATCTGCAAAGTTCCTGTTACCCTGAGCCCTGAACATAATAAGTACTTAACAGTGGCTGTTGAGTTAATGAATATGGAAAATTTTCTGTGTCAGAAAAATTATAGCCCTGTAGCCTTATTGGCTTTTTGATTTAAGATTATACATTAATTTTTGAGCATTAGTAAAGATTAGAAAATTTTATTCAAAAAACATTCCTTCTTAGACGATCTAAGAGGGTTGTACATATAAAGTGCAGGGCTCTACAGCTTCCTGCGTGGGGGTGAGAATTTGGTGCCATCCATCCATACCAGTGCATTTTTAGTGAATACTTCCTATGAGCTAGGTGCTGGCTCTGTAGCCACAATCAATGCCTGGGTGTTGGGAAAAGCACTGGGATAAGAGAGAGGCTGTGGAATCACATAGAATGGGCACATAACCCAGACAGGAGTCAGGAAAGTTTTCCTTGCAGAATTGATACCTAAGCTGAGCAGAAATGAGGCCGACCATGAAGTGAGTGGGATGGGGAAGTTGTGTCCTAGGTTGTTAGAACAGCATGTGCAGAAGACCCAGAAATAGCGTGGTTCAGTCAAGAAATTGAGAAATTCTCCATGAAGATAGTGTACGGGGTTGAACAAGAGTAAGAGATGAGCCTGACTTGCAAAATAAGTGTGTTACCTTATGTACCAGTTAAGGTGCTTGGACTTTATCCTGAGAGCAGTAGATCACTGATACTGGGTTTTGCATAGGAGAGCACATACTACCCCTGACTGTAAAGACTAATAAATTGGGGGACATGGAAGTAAAACAAGAGTCAGGGATGCCCATTAGGGAGCTGCTGGAGTCATACAGGTGAGAGAAATGCTAACTAAGGAGACAGTGGGGCTGGAAATGGACTCTACAGCTGTTTAGAAGGTGATTGATTATTGGTGGAGAGGGAATTGAGGAGGCTCCCAGGTTTCTGGCTTGGGTTACTGCTGAGTGGATGGGGGTGCCATTCATTAACAGAGACAGAGAAGCTGTCTGCCTCATAGCCCCTTCAATACCTTCATGTGAGCCCAACACAGTTGGCTCTGCGCTGTGGTTGTCAGGCCGTCCAGAGCAGTTCTTAAACTTTAGCAGCATTGGCATCACCTGGAAAGCTTACAAAAACCAGATTGCTGGGTCATGCCCTAGAGTTTCTCATTCAGAGGTCTGGAGTGAGTCCTGAGAATTTCACCTCTAACAGGTTTCCATGTGATGCTGGTTCAGGTTGAACCAGCTTCTTTAACATGAATATCTATCACCTGCACATCTGCTAAAATTCAGCTTCTGATTTTATTGGTGTAGGGTAAGGGCTGAGATTCTGCAGTTCTTCAAGCTCCTGGGTGATGCTAATATGGCTGGTCCAGGAATCACACTTTGAGTAGAATGGTGGTCTCAACCTTGGCTGCTCACTAGAATCATCTGAAAAGCTTTTTAAAAATACAAATACCTGGGTCCCACACTCAGAGTTCCTGATTTAATTGTTCTATGGTGCAGCCCAGGTATCAGAATCTTTTAAAGCTTTGATTCAGATAAGCACAAGTGTGGAGAACTACAGCTCCAGATTAGAGGGACTTCATACCTCCACACAACTTAAAAGTCAGAATGAAGAATCTACCAGCTCTTTCCCAAACTGTAAAAAGTGCTTCCTCCTCCTCTCACCTCAGAGAATATTATCTGTGGATCAAATGGAGATTGAAGGACCAAAATAGAAATAGTCACTAGTCTTTTATTTCCAGTAAAGCATATGCCAAACACAGGAATCTATTAAATGTGTAAAACCTATAGTTTGCACTGTTGGGAGACATTACAGTAATGAGCGCAGTTGTGTTTTAATTTCAGTTTGGTTTGAGAAAAAATATGAAGCTACAAAGAGCTGTTAAAAATGTTCTGTGTGTTAACAAGCTTGCAGAATTTATACCAGCTTTTCCCACGTGACCCTTGTCACTTCTGCCATTTAGCGTTGTAGCTTCTTTGTACCTATACAATTTCTTCAGTCATTGATTCCCATTAATTCAATGTAAGAGGTGGTTTTTAATTTCCTAATGCTTAGGTTACCAGTAACCACACCCATTGCATGTGCTCTGGTTTGGTTACATAAGTGAGGTACCAAAATGCCCTCATAATACTCCTAAACTGTAGGTAAATTAAAAAGGCTTCTGAATAGTGGCCACCACTGAATTGGTCATGGGGTCTTATCTAGAGTACTCTTATTTAACACATAATTCTAACAACCATATTTATCTGGTTTCATATATAAGCTAAGAGGTCATAGACTATTTGAGGTAGGAGGTTACTGCTCAGTACCTGACATTGAAGGGAAAATAGAAAAACAAGTAATCAGACACAAAATTAGCAAAACCAGCAATTTATAGTCATTTATGAGTAGGAACAAAGCAACCCTGACTTCCCACCCACCATGTTGGATATAATACATTATGGTTCGTTATGGTGACTTGAACTCGCTATATTACAGTTTCAAAGCAAGAAAGTATGAACAGTACTATGTAATACTTTTTTTTTTTTGAGATGGAGTCTTGCCCTGTCACCCAGGCTGGAGTGCAGTGGCATGATCTCAGCTCACTGTAACCGCCTCCTCCCAGGTGCAAGCAATTCTCCTGCCTCAACCTTCTGAGTAGCTGAGATTACAGGTGTGTGCCACCAGGCCTGGCTAATTTTTATATTTTTAGTAGAGACGAGTTTTTGCCATGTTGGCCAGGCTGGTCTCAAACTCCTGACCTCAGGTGATCCGCCTGTCTCGGCACCCCCCAAAGTGCTGGGATTACAGGCGTGAGCCACCATACCCGGACTATGTAATACTTTTTAAAAGGAATTCTGTCAAAGTTATTTAAATCAAATTTGGGTTCCTAGCAAAAAATCTTCTTTATGGAGAAAAGGCTACTTTGAAGTTCCATATGATTAGTCACACGTAAATTGATAGCATATAAAAATAAAAGTGTATAATAATCATATTTCTAATTAATTTGAATGTATCCAGTGTAATGTGAATTTTTGGATTTGTGTTAATATGTATGTACTTTTCTTGATTTAACAGCTTTTAACCTGGAGACTTGCCGGCTTATGGTTTCAATGCTGGATGTATCCTTTACTTTGATTGTTGTCTAGAATAATTTTTTCTAAAATTCTAAAGGAATTCATCTTAGAATTAATATCTAGTAAACACAAAGTAATAAATGATCACTAAAAAGCTTTCTGAAATAATTAGCTTCTATTATAGGGTGGAATTTGGTGTGAATAAAGGAAGAAAAGAAATTTAGTAAACAGAATGTTGTTCAGGAATTTAAGGAAACATCAGAGTATTATAGAACAAGTACAGAGTCCAGAGTGTCAGGACAGCTTTTTTTCTTTAACATTGATTCCTCTGCAAGTGATGGGATTTTTCACATCCCACTTGTTGGACTGAGTTTAGGTAGTGCTGACTATCCAGTGCATTCCATCCCACCTCATTTGTCTGGGGGCACTAAACAAGGGAATATTAGTACCAGAGATGATGCTAGGACAGAAGGGCAAACAGCATAGCCTGAAGCACCCACAAAGTACAGCCTAGTTCCAGTAACAAGACCGCTTTTTATAAGTGGTTCACAATGGCAACGCTATTTCCTTATAATCAAGTCATGTAAGTTATCTTTTCCCCACAGTAAAAATTGGCACTTGAGCTTTTTCTCCATAGCCCCTTTCTATTTTTAAATCATTAATTTTACATCATACCAAGAATAATCTACAATAACTTTTTTAGCCATTGAATATTGAATTCCCCTTATCCTTGATCTTTCATTTAATCCTTAGAAAATATCGCAAAATACAGCTCTAATCCTTGATTACAGTTCAGAGAGATATGTCTGGCACAATGGGTTTCAATGAATTTAAAGAACTCTGGGCTGTACTGAATGGCTGGAGACAACACTTTATCAGTTTTGACACTGACAGGAGTGGAACAGTAGACCCACAAGAATTGCAGAAGGCCCTGACAACAATGGGTAGGTATGGCTTACTAGAACTCTCCATTCATTGGTAGAAGTAAGTTGATTTTTATTTTTAAAACCAGGCTGGGTGCAGTGGCTCACACCTGTAATCCCAGCACTTTGGGAGGCCAAGGAGGGTGGATTGCCTGAGCTCGGGAGTTCGAGACCAGCCTGGGCAACACAGTAAAACCCCGACTCTACTAAAATACAGAAACATTAGCTGGGCGTGGTGGCATGCACCTGCAGTCCCAGCTACTCGGGAGGCTAAGACAGGAGAATCACTTGAACACAGGAGGCAGAGGTTGCTGTGAGCCGAGATCACACCACTGCACTCCAGCCTGGGCGAGAGTGAGACTCCCTCTCGTAAATAAATAAATAAATAAATAATTGCTACCTGAAGGCAGTTTCTGTTTTCTTAGAAATTGTGTGTGTTCATAATTAATATGAGTCTGCAGTCTTAAAAAATAAAATAGTGCTTGATTATTTTATTTTTTAATGAGCTTCTGCAATCCTTTAACCTTTTTACTGGATGGCTTTTCTTTTAGGATTTAGGTTGAGTCCCCAGGCTGTGAATTCAATTGCAAAACGATACAGCACCAATGGAAAGATCACCTTCGACGACTACATCGCCTGCTGCGTCAAACTGAGGGCTCTTACAGGTGAGTTCTATAAGGTCGTGTCATCACCACAAGCCAAGACACAGTTTTTATTACATTTCATCTCTCAGTGCTTCTCAACTTTTATTCTTCCCAAATTTTTTCTTGCTTTAGTAGTTTTTTTCAGATTACTATTAAGCATATCTGGCAAAATAATTTTTTGGTTTTTTTTCCAGAATTTATTTTAGATTAGTAAGTAATCTGCCATTAAAATAAACAATTAAATTTTACTAAAATGTTCTAAAACACAATCAGCTAACTTGTGCATTTTTGATCAGATAATAATGAATTTTTCCCCAGAATGTGAAATATTTGGAAAGAGTGAAATTAAAATAAAATCCTTTTCTATAGGGCAGAGCTGAAATGGTAGAGAAACTGATTACAGCCCATTTGTTATATTGGGGACTCTTTATCTGTTTCTTAAGCAGTATCTTTGTTATTAAGAAGCTAGAAATTCGGTGCTTTTATCACAATGAAGTAATGGCCATGGAAGTTGCACAGCTTTTACTGACTTTGGGTAAGGTATTTTCTCCAGATCTAAAAAAACAAAAAAACAAAAAACACAGCTGGCCAACTTCTGCCTGTTACTTTGTTGCATATTAAATCTTTTACTATTCATATAGTTGGCTTCTTTGCTTTGGTCTTTTGTTTATGTTAATTGGTTGCACAATTTAAATGTTACTGCAATGTGAATTCAATGCCAAAATAACTAACTTTTATGATTTTAGAAAAACCATTTAAAGAAAAACCATAAATTTTACTGTGTTGTTTTACAGACAGCTTTCGAAGACGGGATACTGCTCAGCAAGGTGTTGTGAATTTCCCATATGATGATGTAAGTCTTAGAAATTAAGAGATACAGTAGATGAAAAGGATGTACACCAGATGGGTATCCCTTTGAAATTAGCTGTTAAGAATATCTTAAGGTTAAGGATGCCAGAGACATAAGGGATTCAAAAGTTAGAAAGAGTTATCATCCAGAATTTATTAATTTCATTTATTAGTCTTAACTATAGTGAGACCATGATTTGATTTGCATTCAGAGACCTGGGTTCAAGACCCAGCTTGTTGTATTTATTAGCTGGGTCACTTAAGCAGGTTTCTTAATTGCTGTGACACTATATGAATAAAGAAGATATAGTAGTAATGCCTTTTTCACTGAGCCATTGTAAGATTTCTATTAGAAATGCCCTTGAAAAACACTATGCAGATATACTATCTGCTTTTGTCTTCTGTAAACAAATCATGTCAGTCACTGAGAATAGATAACAGCTCAATAGTTTTGCATACCTATGTTCTTCATTGAGGGCATAAGGCAGGCAACAACTTAAATCACAATTTTTTTTTTTTTTTTGAGATGGAGTCTCGCTCTGTTGCCCAGGTTGGAGTGCAGTGGCGCAATGTCAGCTCACTGCAACCTCCACGTCTCGGGTTCTAGCGATTCTCCTGCCTCAGCCTCCTGAGGGACTATAGGCATGTGCCACCATACCTGGTTAAGTTTTTTTGTATTTTTAGTAGAGACGGGGTTTCACTGTGTTAGCCAGGATGGTCTCGATCTCCTGTCCTTGTGATCTGTCCGCTTAGGCCTCCCAAAGTGCTGGGATTACAGGCGTGAGCCACTGCTCCCGGCTAAATCACAATTTAAAACAAGTTATTTACTAAACAGCCAAACTAAACAAGGGTAGGGTAAGGCCATGTAATCAGTGTGAACATAACCTAGTGCCATCTTTGATGGCATTAGCTGGATGTATATAACAAAGCTAGAGAGATTGGTTACTTGTTTCTTCAGTTTTTGCTCAGCCATTGATTTAAAAACAAAAAACAAACAAACAAAAAAACTTGTAGAATTGAAATGACTGTAATCACTGAATATTCCATTCTCCATTACAAAATATAAGATGCATGTATTTTTGGTTTAGCAGCTGCTGCAGTTATAAGTACACTTTTAAAAGC
Organism: Homo sapiens; assembly: GCF_000001405.40. Classification (NCBI taxonomy): domain Eukaryota; kingdom Metazoa; phylum Chordata; class Mammalia; order Primates; family Hominidae; genus Homo; species Homo sapiens. The sequence goes on along the minus strand of NC_000007.14, from coordinate 88,207,388 downwards.
TTAGTATGTGTGTGTGAATATGCTTATTTTACCTGCTTAAGGGTGTGTTCTCTTTAACATGCGTTAACTTCTTAGTTGACAGTCCCCTTGCTGTTTCTAAAGATCAGAAGGCTGCCTGGGGAATGGAAAGAAAGACCATGGGCTTTGACTTCAGATGGGGCTACTTAAAAGATTTCTAAACATCCTGATCCTTATTTTCCTTTTCTCTAAAATAGGGATAATCACCTTGACCTTGCAATAGAGCTGCAAGGGTTAGCAGTGCACAATACCTTAGTAGTGTAGGGAACACTGATAGAGCAGAATCTATTGCTTTATGTTTAGCGGGGAAGCCAACATTTCACAGCAAATACTGGTATTTCTAATCTCAGGTATCTGAAGGGTTAGCTGTTCTGTTTCTGTGCATACATACACTTGCATGCTACAATTTGTTTTAATAAAGCAGATTTTAAGGCAATAAACTGTTTAAGGTGTTCCATTAGAGTAATGGGGTAATACTGTGTGGTTTGGAAATCCCCACGTAATACAACAGTATAAACTCCAGTTGTTTGTGTTTGTGGTAAGTGTCTTTGACCACGGCCATTTCTAGTCTTGGATATTATTTGGAATTTAAATAATTATTCAAATAATTATTTAAATTATTTATCCATTGAAGTTATATCTGCTTTCTCTAAGAAGTTTTGATGTGAGAAACCCTGTGGATTTTATATTAGACTGCTTCCCTAAAAAAAGGAAACTTTTCCATCTATCATTTACTCATATCTTAGAAAGTTGTAGGGGTTGTTTTACCCGTGTTCAAATTAGAAAACCAAATGTAAGCTGCCAGAAATAGGCTGTGCCGTATAAGTGCTTTGAGGTCTGTCATATAATGCTGATTTTTCTTTCAGTTCATTCAATGTGTCATGAGTGTTTAAATCAAGAGGAAGCTGCATGAATGTAATCAACATTCCAACTGGAGCTCTCCTTTGCTTGTCCTCTTTGCCTTCGGTAATATGTATAAACTTACATCACGACTTTCTCTTAACAGCTGTTGTAAAGTTTATTACTTTATGTACAACTGAAGTTTTGTTTTAGTTTTGATAATAAATTCTTTGGAACTTTAATAAGATCTAGTCTGTTACACCATTTAGAACTTTCCTGAGCCATTATCAGTCATGCCTTATTTTCTTGCTAAAACTCTATGTAAATTTAAGTATGCAAAATGTTTAAGTCACATTATTTATTTTTCATTGTGAGACACTAAAAACTGTTAATCAGACTACAGCTGTTATCTTTCCTCTCCTACAAAGAATACTCCACACATAAAAACTTAGGTAAATGACATAGACGCACTTGGGTGAAATAAAACAACAAAAAAGGTAATCCAGTAATCCACGTCAGGATTCACCTTAGAAGTTTAGCACACGCCCTTCAAAACCTGTTGAATAATTTGATTGGCAAATACTATCTGTCACCAAGTCCCTTTTTGTCATCTATTTAAACCTTTGTTAACTCTCCTTAAAAATCTTGTACATTATAAGCTTAACTATATAAAAAGAAAATTGATAGAAAAAGACTAAGGGAATATATGGAAATATTAACAATGTTTATTTTGGATGAATGGAATTCTAGATGACTTTAATTTTCTTTATATCAGTATTTTTCAGATTTTCTATATGCTTTCCTTTTAAAATCAGATTTTAGTTTTTAAAATACTGATACATCCATTTTGATATACCATGTATTCACACTTTAAAAAATACACATAGCAGAGTATCGGAAAGTATGTACCAAAACATTGATCTGGCTACCACTGGGAGTCAGGATCATGAGTTCATCTTCTTCCTTCTTACTGCTTTTCCAAACATTCTCCAGTAAGCAGGTACTACATTTATAATGGAAGGAATTTTTTAAAAAATTTTAAGCTGTACACTTTCAAGTAAGATCTGAATTCTAATGCTGGCTTGTGCCTCTTACTATGTGGTTTGGTCATTATAGATAATGCCCAGTTTCAGTTTCCCCATCTTTGAAAAGGAGATAATATGTTATCTCTTGGGAGTAGTTCTGAATATGAAGTGTGTTGATACAAGAAGCACTGACAATGTTTCTGTTTCTTAAATTTAAAACTGGCCTGGTTTGCCTTTTTTATCAAGAGAGCTTAACAGATAAAAAATGAAATTAGTCTATTTTCTACTTGCCAGCAGAGTATCTGTCTTATTTTAGGATGCAGTGTGAAACTTACCATTCAACTGAACAACTAGTTGTCAACTAATGAAAATAAAACATTTTCTCTAAGCATCTTTAGCCTCATTTCACTATTAATTTTTTAAAATATTGTTAAAATATATATTATTCAAACCTAACATATAACTATGGCAAGTTAGTTAGCCCAGGTTACATATCAGAATGTGAAGCAGCCTGCTATATATTACACAGTGACTATAGATTGCATCATCTCCGTATATTGTCTGTGAGGCCATAAAGCTCTGCTTGAGTCTGGGCTATCTAGAAAAGGGCCAAAAAGGGGCTCAGAGGATTAGGAGGCAGGGAGCTCACCTTCAGTGTCCTAGCACCTGCTGTTTGGTTTCAACTCACCAGGGTCCTCTGAGGAAATCATAGTTTAAGGAAATGGTAATTTCCTGGTTGAGGATAAGCAGTAGAGAAGGCCCTTGCTGAAGGATATGGGCCATATTTGAACAAGTCCCAAGGTGTGCTGCATCAGTTGTGGTTCTGAATTGGCTTTGGGGTGAATACAAAAGCATCCCTCTGACATTATATTAGTTTGTTCGCACACTGCTAAAGACATTACCCAAGACTGGGTAATTTACGAAGGAAAGAGGTTTGACTCACAGTTCCACATGGCTGGGGAGGCCTCAGGAAACTTACTTATAATTATGGCGGGAGGGGAAGCAGGCACCTTCTTCACAAGGCAGCAGGAGATGGAAATGCAAGCAGGGAAGTGCCAGATGCTTATAAAGCCATCAGATCTCATGAGAACTCACTATCACAAGAACATCATGGGGGAAACCGCCCCCATGATCCAATCCCTTCCCTCCCTCGATGTAAGGCTTACAGGTCCCTCCCTGGACACATGGGGATTACAATTCGAGATGAGATTTGGGTGGGGACACAGAGCCAAACCATATTAGACATCATTCAGTTAATTCCGTTTTAATTATTGATACCTCAAAACGAATCTCTTAATCTCCTCCCCTTCTGCTTTCACCCATTCTTTCCAAAAGCATGGAGCATAGTTTTCAGTATGTCCCTGCAGTTAGAAAAAGTTTCCTTCCCGTTGACAAATTTGATGTATTCATCTCCTTTAATTACAGCCAGTCTTCATTACAAGTGAAATCTCCTGTTGCCTTATTTCTATTTTATGTTGGGTTGTGTTTAATTCATTGTATACTTCTAGTGTAGCCTCACCCACTACTTTAAAATTATTTCCTGGTCTGTTTACTTTTTCTTAAAGAATCTAGTTGGAGCATGGTAAAGCTGTGAGCTCAAGCTTGAATACTTCAACTATTTGGAGAATTAAGCTCCTCAAATCACCCTCATTAGGATTTAATTTTATTTTGGAGATGTGTGCTTTACTCATGTGTTTCAAGAGATCCATGATTTATGAAGTACTTTTAACACATTTCGTGCACTTACTTCCATAGGAATGTGGCTGCTAGAGACCTGGTGCTTCCTGGGGATAGTTGGCGTAGATTTGCACCACAGCAGTCATATTAAATTAAAGCTCTTGCTTCTACTGAGCCAAACTGGAGTTTAGACTGTCCTTCAGCATGATGTTCCAGGTGGTACCATCAAGTCCACGAGCTGGCTGCCATCTGTGAACTAGACTTTGCTTTGGCTCAGCCGAGTTACTGTTTCAGTGTTCATCTAAATGACTTATTATATGACTAAAATATTATAAATGCAAGAAATGGAGCTATGTGTAATCACCATAAACTTTTAAAATCTCATACTAAATGTACAAACCCTTCATCAGTGACTTCCTTCTCTTTTTCTCACATTAAAACAATACCTTGACTACTTATAACTTATTAACTATGCAGCCTATGAACAGATGGCAAGGACCCCGCAAATGCCAGAATAATGACGGGTAGGTAAAATGCCTGCCTGGAAGATGAAAAAGCCAGGGTGGAACAGTTTTTAGGCAATGAACTCATGAGCCCATCCTAGGCTCAGTGCTTTAGAATGCAGCACAGGTGACCTTATTAACTAAGCACCACTGCCTGGTCTACAGGACAGGATATAGGAAATTGATCCTCATTAGGGTGAGAGAGGAAGTGCTTACAAGGAGAGGCAAATAGATAAATAAGTAAACTACCTCTGCCATCCAGATGAGGAAACTGCAACAAATCGAGCACTCAGGCTTTGCTAAAGGGTTGTATTTCTCATCATGTTAGTGACCCCTTCTGGGACACCAGTGAACAGGAAAGAAACAATCCCTTGACTGTACCCCTAACAAAGCTTCTGAAAGAGAAACTAGCTGGGAGAAAAAGAAGAGTCGTGCATCAAAATAACATAAATCTTTTATTGAAAGTCACTTTACTAATGTTACAATGGGAGTAACATAGAAAACCATGGTATCTTATTAGCTTCCGAAGTGAATACTAATAAAACTGTGCCAGAAATTTGAACCTTAAGTTACAGTGACCTTTAAAAACATCAAGATTTTGTTTACCTACAATGTAAGAACAATTTTATAACTTGAACAGCCATAAAACAAATCACACTTGCTCAGGAAAGCAGTTGCCATATACATTTCCATTGGTGTTTGCCATAACCCCAGTAATTATTAAAATAGCTTAACGAACCTGAAGTGCAGAGTAGCAGAGAAATGTTAAAATAATGCGAATCTAAGTATATACACATGATTACCTGATTACCAAAAGTGAAACCATGCTGCTATTAACACCTCCTCATGGGGTGGCTTCCACTATCTATAGATGCACATCACCTGTCAAAGGTGATAACCGTGGAAAACACTAGTGCCGACCTACTGCTGGCTAACATGTAAGCTACTATGTTTAGGTAAAACACCCCGTTTCTGAAAGAAGTTGTCTTTTGGGGGTGCTAGTTTGGAGGGGCAAGTCTTCCAGCAAGTTAAAAAAGGAGTACATGCTTATCTATCCTGAATAAGCCTTTTTTTAAAGCAGTTTTGCAGTTAGTGTAAAAAAAAAAGTTTTCCATACAAAACAAAGGTGTTGAGTCATTTTTGCCCTTTAAAAAGACTGGTTGTAGAATCAGAGTTTGATTTTGTGCTGGATTAGAAAAGAAAAGTGGGGTTTCTAGTCAGGCAGTGATACACATATATAATTTAGCAGGAACTTTTGTATTATTACTAAGTATTCATATCAGCATTTTCTGTATTGTGTTACTTGTTCAACTTAGCACCGCTATATTTAAAGATTGGGGCTATTTGCATTATTTTAGAGCTTAGCCATCCAACACAAATCACAGCCTGAAAATTCATAAAATAAGAGGCTAAGCCCTAAGGTGAATGCAGATCAGAATATTATATATATATAACATTTTTTACAAGAAAGGAAAATACCTTTTCTTCATAAACTCTTTGAAACTTTATTGATGATTCTGTATGTGCATTATCTTAAGAATTCGTCTCATTGTATGCCTTTTTGTAAAACAAAACCAAAAACACACATATTGCCTGGTTTTGATTTCAAGGATACGTAGGAACATGGAATGATGATTACTTGATGAAAAGCCTGCCAGCCTTGAAGCTTCCCCATATGATACAGGTTTTATGAACAGTGCAACAGGGATGCATCAGGCAGGAGTGACTGGCCTATTATGGACTGGACCACAAAGTATTCAGAGTCAACACTCAGTCAATCTGCCAAGCACAGAAGTCTGTCTTAGGCATCCAGCACCTCTCTTCCCACCACACCCCTTGTGACAATGTGTGCTCTCCTGCATATCTGGCCTCAGGAATCTTCCTGTGAATATCCATTCTGTGTCTATGCCAGGACTAAATGCCCCATGGTCTCCCAAAGTTCTCTGCTTCTTATCTCCTCCCCATCCTGAAATTCAGGCTTTTAGGACTCATCTCCCAGTGACTTCCTAAGTTGCATAAGCTGCTAATGTGCCAGTGGGTGAAGATAAAGATGCCTGCCACCTCTACTCCCTAGAGCATCCTAGGGATATAAAGGACAAAAGTACTAATTAGGTTTTTGGTTTTGAATGTTTTGTTTTTCTGCTTACAAACAACCAGAAGTTGCTCCATTTGCGGGACTAACAAAGCAATGAATAAAATGTCAGTAGAAACACTCCTGTTTTCTAAAGTCCTGCTGCATCTTTGTTCTGCATCCGCAGATGTGGGAGAAAAGCTCCTCTTGGAATTAAAAGCACCTCCCCCACAGAGCATATGCTATGAGCATGTGCCAACAATTCCCAGCAGGTGTACTTTTAACAGCGGGGCTACTCACACACAGCTGGGATGGGCTGCTGCCGCTCAGCCAATTTTCACAAGAGCAGACTGGGCCCCTCATTATATTATACTATCAATGGGAAACTGTTTATCAAAGTCCTTAGTTCTTCCATGCCAGGAGAAAAGTTGCTGCATCCAAAACCAGAGTAGTCTTATCCATTCAAAAACATCTCAGGAGGAAAACAAAACATTTGAGCCCCAAATTAAGCCCTATTCCACGGAAGTGTTTACTTCTTATACATCTTAAACTGTAGAGCAAGAATGAGAAATTTATCTTGACTCCATACATTTAACGGAGTGGAAAGGTATTTAGGTGGCAGTTTTAGAAAAAAACATAAAAGTGAAAGGAAAAATATAATTAGGTGCATAAAAAGTAGATATGATGCTGCAAATGGCAGTCAAGTGTTTCATGGAAAATTCATGCCAACTTACCAACTGGTAGGGTGATATTTACAACACGCTGCCCATGTGGGCATCCAGTGGCAGCAGCCAGATGTGTCCTATCAGACTGTGCAGGCAGCTGTCTTGTCCCTCCTCGCTCCTGCCAGTTCCTAACTTGGCTCTCCCCTTCCATATACTCTACAAGCTACTCAATATCCTGCCAATAAATTCTCTTTCCTTTAAGTAAAATAAAGTAAAATAATCTTTTCTTTAGATAAGAATTTATTATTGTGTTAAATAATAACATAAGAAAATATTTAAAGTACTATATATATGGTTAGAACTATACGACAATAGGAAATGAATGGATAAAATGAATAAATGAACAAACCTTATTTTAAAACACTGAAAAAAGTGAATAAAAATACCATATATCTTCTGGTCCGAAGGTAACTGTAAAACATAAAGAACAAAATCCCAAAAAAGGTAACAGGTAAAGTAGCCACAAGAGATCTGGGACAATAGACAGGATTAAATTATGTAGATATGCAAGGGAATCAATAGAAAAGAAATGTAAGCCTGTTATGAAATTCAAACATAAATAGTCCTTCTCTGAAAGTGCAGAGAATATCCAATTTTGTCTTTCTGACAACTTCTTTAGAAATCCTATTAATGTTACTTTCAGAAATTCTATGCCAGACTGACCTTATATACAAACACAATTTTAAAATTCTTTTTAAAGTAACAGGGAAAAGAGAGAGAAACTATGGTATCACTTAATAAAGCACCAATATCAAAGTGAAAAATAAGTTGGCATTTTAAACCCACATTTGCTTTATTCATCAACATTTTTTAAAGGAACAACTCTAATGATAGGTTATTCCTAATCGAAGCTCCGGGTGTCTTGTTAAAAATACAGCAACCACAGCAAATTGAAAGCCCTCACCATGTTGCACTGTCCGATGTATTCCTTTCCACAGATTGCATGTGCCCTGGGGATCATTTCCAGCCTGCAGCGTTCAGAGGACCATGCCACTTCCCATCTAAATAAAGAGTGGCTGGAGGACAGTTCATGTGGCCAGTCCACTCCATAAGGACTCTCTTCTATCCCATGCCTTCCTGTTCACACTTACTGGAGAGACTTAAATGTTCCTTTAAATCAGGGTTTACTGCACTGCAATGACTATGGATAAATGGAACTTCTCAGGCAGCAGGGTGCCAATCTGTAGTCTTATCAATGCATAAAACTGGAAGAGGGGAAAAAGGCATACAATGGAACATAAAGGCCAAATAACTGCTCTCTTCTGCTTAGCAATGATTTTGTAGTGGATTGGGAAATATAAATATTAGTTGCATGATATAAACTGTGATACGGCCTCAAAGTTTCTCTCCAAAATAGATATTTAAAGAGAAATAATGCTGTGCTTGTATATTTAATGCTACCTACCTCGGTGGATGAAAAGTCATAAATATTTAGATGTAATGCCTCTAGAACCCCAACCATGAGTATACATATAGATACTTCTTGAAACTCTCCCTTGAGACTATAAATTTGTCAATGAATCCCACAAATGGCTCTAAGAATGTTTAAACATGGGAGATAGAGTAGATTCCAAGAATAGAACATTAAAGTTACTGTATACCTCAAATCATAATCTCTACAAATAAAACAAAAATTTTTAGTCAGTTCCACAGGAAGGTTATTACCAAGGCGGGTAATTACAAACTATATACCTCTAGAGAAACCATGTCTCCCAAAAGGCACATGATCATGATTTTCATTTGAAATAATAATTTCATGTAAAAATAGGTGAGGGAAGAAAGACACACAGACGAATGATAGAGATCTGTTAACTTCTCAGCTAGCCATTTGTGGATTCTTTCAAATTAGAGTTTGTGTACCTGTAACTAGGAAGCATATTTACATGAGGCACCTTATATTCAAATCTATAAACTCTTTTATAGTCAAAATAAACCTTATAGCATTAGCCTTTTGTACACTCAGTACCAGGAAACATTCAGTGCACGTTACAGTGATCTTGGTAAAAAGTCACTTTATTTGCTACATCTTTCAATCTGTCTGCCCTTCTGTTCTTGGCTTGAGCTATGTGGCAACACTGCCCAACACTCACCCAAACCTTGGCCTGATGGATCGCTTTATGGTCATATCAACAATCACATCCCTTCCTGTCATGAAAAATGCTGTTTTACATTATGTAATTTTGGATCATTAAATTGCTTTCCAAACATTTCAAAGACTTTCAAAAGAGAGGTCCATTACAGAAGACATAAACACACAGTATAAAATGCTGCCTTCTAACTCGGCCCTTCAGTTTGGGCATGATATGTAATCAAATTGATTACATATGAAGATGATATGGATTTTGTCCATGGATACTATGGGAGAGGATCAAATTTAAGAGAGTATATCTGAAAACCTGTCTGCAGATTCCATTCCTCTTAAGAACACACAGCAAATGAGGAAATCAGAAGTATACTTCAGAGCAGACCATGTGATTGAGCCCATCAATCTCCAGCCTCACTAGGGTAGCTAGCTTTCTTTTGGAATGACAGATCTGCCATTATAACAGCTATCAAACTTTGGTTTTAAAGAAGGGTCTTTTAAAATAGAATCTTATTTTCCTATGGATTAAAAATATATGTTTCAAAGCATCAGATTCTTTCCCCCACCAGCTGTTAGTGTAACTTCGCAGATGCTGCATCTCTGTGGTTTAGATCTAACTTAACCCTTTATGAATGGTTGAAGCTGCTCAACTCAAACAGTAGAATCTTCCGTCATCTTGCTTCAGAGTCAGTGCAGAATGACTTGTTGGGATTCACATCCCAGTGATGACAAATATTCTTAATCAACAGTGTCAAAGTTGTTTTTGTTAAAACAAGTCATTCATTTCACAGATAAGGGTGACTACAAAGTTTTGCCAAGGAACAAAACTTCAGGCCACAAAGGGTTAGAGTATTGGCAAACCAGAAGCTACCAGCTCACTGGCAGTACGTTGTCTCATGTGTCTTTGGTGCACTTGCTTAATCTCAGCAGCACACACTGCTGAGGGGCTGGCTCACTGGGATGAGATGGGATGGACGGATGGGATAGATGATTTCCAGGGAGCAGCCCATCGGCAGCAGAGTGGGCTCCTGCATCAGCAAACTGTGGAGGCCAGAAGTTTTGCTGGGCATTTTGTTCTCTCACTCAACTACTCACTCAATAAAACTGCCTCCAGACTGTGCACAGGTTAAAGGGATATCACATGTTTTGGACAAATACGAATTATGGAGAGACACATTTACAGCATTGACCACTATATTTACATTACCTGCTTATAGTCTTTGAAGATCACTGGATGGATGACGATGATGTGATTGTGACGGAATTTTTAGGCATTTGGCAAAATACACTTGTGTGTAACAGCTGCATTTTTTTAAAATTTTAAAAATGTTACATATATACAATTGTCCTTGTATGCTAATATAAATATGAAAAGTAAAAAACAAAACAAAAATAAAAATACATGTTTAAAGTTAGCCTATGGGATATTGGCCTTTCAAAGCTTTAAAGTCCTGCAGAAAAATCCTATATGCCTTAGCCCTGCATGCTCATTTCTATTATGGGATGTTGTTTCCTTAAATATGGAAAACAATAAACAGAAGCTTCATGCATATAGCATTACTGTTTACAGTGAGGATGTGCCTCAGAACGTCAAGTTCTGAATCCACTATTGTACCTTAGGAAACTTGCTACATTTGGGTCATGTGAGTTAACTTTATGAATATTTCTACATATTATCTGTCATGCGGATTATCCATTAACATACCAGTACCTTTATTGTTCCATGTTATAGTGTAATATTTCAGTAGTTCTTTTCATGGTTAGTTAAATCCTAAGCCAATGACAAAAAGAAAATGGTAACCAGATGTGAAACTCCGCTTCCTCTCCTCTGTAGCATCTCAGAGGGTCTTCGTATTGTCTGAAGAGCAGATAGATTTGCAGTGATTCCATGAGCCTGGGTTTCTATAAAAGTTGAAGTAAACAGTTTTCGATGTATCACATGTAAACAGTTGATCTTAAATGGATGTCTCCCATAGCTGCACAACAGAAAAGAGCAAAATTGCACATTGTGAAAGCAGGAAGCAGATGTATTCTGAATAGGAGATGAAAAAGATTCAGTGATTCCATCCATATATATGTGATTGTGGATGCACACTCTTGCAAAGTCTAAAAAGTGGATAGAATAAACACTCCAACTTTTAGCTCTCTGTTTCCTCAAAACCTGTGTCTCAACCTTTTTAACAGCAGCCATCTTTTGATACAAAAACCATCACATCCTCATTTAATGTTACTAAACATTTTGAATAGAGTCAATATTGTGTCTCAAATGAAATAAAAGAATTTAAAATATTATTTTTTAAGCTACACATGCCCTTCCTTTCCCCAGGATTCTGAGACAGCCAGCTAGAGCAGTGGTTCTCAACCTCAGCTGCACATTACATTAATCTGGGGAGGTTTCTACAATTCCACTTCCCAGGCACCACACCAGACCAACTAAATCAAAATCTCTCTGGGTGGGACTCAGGCGTAAGAATATTTTAAAAGCTTTGCAGATGATTCCCTTGTGCAGCCACGACAGAAAACCACTGACATCAGGGAAGTGTGATTCCATCAATTCCACCATCACCCACTTGAAAATCACTGCCATACACTCCACTTCTATCACTACCTCCTTAAAAAATAGTTCTCTCAGCCGGGCGTGGTGGCTCACGCCTGTAATCCCAGCACTTTGGGAGGCCGAGATGGGCAGATCACGAGGTCAGGAGATCGAGACCATCCTGCATAACACGGTGAAACCCCGTCTTTACTAAAAATACAAAAAAAATTAGCCGGGCGTGGTGGCGGGCACCTGTAGTCCCAGCTACTCGGGAGGCTGAGGCAGGAGAATGGCGTGAACCCGGGAGGCGGAGCTTGCAGTGAGCCGAGATCGCGACATTGCACTATAGCCTGGGCGACTGAGCGAGACTCCATCTCAAATAAAATAAAATAAAATAAAATAAATAAAAGGTTCTCTCTCACAAGCTGAGGTATCACAGTGGAAGGATACATTCAAGGCAGGATGTCCCTTCATTCATTCTGTCCCTCTTACCCTCTCCTTGCTTTTGCCATGAGCTCTTTATATTGGCCCTGTTCCGGTCAAATTTCTACAATGTTCAGCAATCACCTTAATGGACTAATAACAAGTGTGACATGATCAGATATGAATGCAACTCAGTTCACCAGAAAAGGAAGACCAATTTAAAAAGAAGATCAAGCTGATGAAATATGTTTCCAGGCAATAGAATTTAGATATAATTATTATAAACATAAACAAATAAAGCCTATGAACACAGTGACTTAGGTTGTATCCAATTCCATCCAAATTCCATTTTTACTGGACATTTGGTGCATGTCGCTGTATATATAATGAGTTTCTGGGAAAGAAAAAGGAGAAAAAGCCAAGTGAGTAAGTAGATGTTTCTATATAGGTTCCCTTAATATGTTCTCCCAAATCTTCATGGAAATCTTGTTCTGAATGCCCATGTCTGCCTACTCCACAGGACTGTGGTAAAGCCACCATGCTATCTACCTTAGGTCATTTTATATGCCCTTTTTATTGAAAAGACACCAACCCCTTGTAAACCACAGGAATATCTGAACTGTGAGGATCTTCGTGAATGGGTGACACTGGTGGTGGAGAGGAGTTAAATGGGGCTTGTGGTGGGTCTGGAGCAAAGACGATCTGAACTGATGCTCAGATAATGGTCTGGAGGGCTAAAGGGATTAGACTCTGGCCTCAGAGAGCTGAAGTTTCCTCAATATTGTTTTATAAAGATTAAAAATAATATGTGACAGGAGAAAGAAGGGAGGGACAAATGAACAACATTGGGAAAAACCTGAATGTCATGATTACTCCAGTGAGAAAAAATGAGCAATTGCCAAACATCACTTTCAGCACTAGGCATGCCTTGGCCCACGTCTATGTGGTGGTAACAGAGGGGCTGCTGATAGGAAGATCTGCTTGTTCCACTCTCCACAGCCCACAGAGACAGCCCAGAGACAGGGGCTGTGTATTTGGTAGGATTCTGCCACATGCTTATGTGGCTGTTCCACAGTGCATAGAACAAATCAGACTTTTCAGGTAACAATCCCAGCAGCCAGAGCCTTTGTGGTCACCTGCTCAGCCCAGGGCCAGTCATTTTTTCTAGGGAGCTATCATTTTTACAGGCTCTTGTGTGGTAACATCTCCAATAACCCAAACTCTGACATGACAACAGCTGAGGGAATGTCCCTAACTTGATGGAACAAAACAGGGATGCAGACAATTTAGCAGAAAGTGGGTTGCTACACTTAGACAATTATTTGAGGAGGGCAGGAATGACCTCAGTCTCAGATTTCATTATCACACATGACATCATGAACAACTAGGTATCTATCAAGAAGTCTTTTGTTAATTCAGAAAGCTGAGTGCTGGGAATCTGAATTGTCTTGTTATCTTTTACCATTTCTCATATTAACATATAATGGTAATTTTTTATGATTAACAAAACACTGCTGGTAGTTTTTAAAGACTTTTGGATTATAGTGATCTACACAGCTTTTAATTATTTGTGCCTTCTTACTGACTCTGAGTTAAAATTAAAATTTGAATGATCCACGTTTACCTTGAATCACATAATTTAGGTTTGGGATCAAAGAGATTCCGAAACATCTCTGAAGACCAAAGAGTCTAACCAGCAGCTAAAGCTGCCGAGGCTTATAAGCTTTATTTTATTTTTTTGCAACATTATTTCTAAGAAGATGAACATTACAGTGTAAATGACCACAACAGAGCCTGGACATCAATAAAGGTAATTATTCTTTGGTTACATCTTTCACTTAAGTCTCTGAGGACCAGTCTGCCTCTCTAAGCTCCACTGTATCTCGAATTTCACATACTGATATGTTTCAGGAATGTTGTGAGACAGTGGCAGTGTGATTAAAATGTAAAAGGTGATATAGCAAAATACACTGTTTTGTTTACTGTAGGTTTTAATAAATTAGCTACAATAATTAAATATATAGCAATTAATTACACAAAATGTACCTAGACTGTATCAATGCAGATTAAACTATTTGCAAATATAAATCTGAAGCCAAAAGTCTCAAGAATCTCCTTATTTTCAAGTTTGATTTTTTCATTTTCTTAGGAACAAGGGAGGAAAAATGGTTCTCTCTTTTAAAATATAAACTCATAGATAAATGATAATGACTGAGCATGTACGCACATGGAAGAGGTTTCCACATACCCTGGCACTTTGTCGGTTCACTTTCTTGTCCTCATCAGGAAGTGGAGGCATTGGGTAAGGGTATTTTCTGCTGGAGGCAATAGACCCAGTTGATGAAGAAGGAGACTTGGCAGGAGATAAAGTCCTGAGATGTTGAGAACATGAATTAAGTATCATGTGATTGCCTAACATTTTTCAAATATCTGAAAAGTGTGTTCAGAACAAACCCTCTGACTTCTAACTTTCATATACCACTACTGCAAAGATTTAACTACTGGGAAGATATTCTGTCATTCTCAACAGTGAAATGCTGCAATTTTATCTTCCTAATTTCATGACTGCAATGGATTATTTAAATGTTAGAACATAGAATGATACTTTTCAACTACAAGCCACTAAAAATGTATCCTATAGAATAGATAAAAAGCTAAAATGCAGAAGGGATGAAATTATTCTAAGAGCTTATAATGGTAAATTATGTGTATAAAATATTAATATTGTGCCTTATTTTTAACCACTTAATGTAAAAATGTTTAAGTACGATAATTCCAATTTTCTCTTAAGATCTTAAAATCCATTACAACTGATATATTTATTAGTTGCTAAATCACACACCAGTTTACACAACACTCATGCATTCAGAGGCCAGTGTGTTAGTTGTGAAGGAACAAAGGCAAATACAGGGCTTTTAATAAATTAGTAAACATGCAAGCAGTAAGGAGTGCAGAGTTCCAGCCAAACAAAGTCTGATGAGAACATACAAAAATGGTCTAATTAGTCCCTACAATCAGCATTTCTATGTAAGCTGCTGCTGTATTATGCTGTACTTGATTGATTTTGCATGTGTAGTGGTAATTTGTGACTAAGCTGAACATACTAGACAAGCCCCTATCTATTGCTAATTTGTCTTTAAAGTGAAAAAAGAAAACAGCTGAGTAAAAAATGTCTGCTCATAAGATATCAATGAAAAACAGATGTGATAACTGTAGTAGCTATTCCATTCACAAACGTTACCACTACACATCCACTGCTCCTTAATCCATGGTGCAAGGTGGTAAAAACCCACATTGAACTGGTTACACTGCCACCTTATAGCAAAAGTGTTTATTTCAGTAGAATGTACCTCATCTGCTGTGACTGATCCAGCCTGGGAATGTTAGTGGGAGGGGCGGGGGTAGCACTAGGTAGGTCAAGATCTACTGCCTACACTGCATTCAATAGCATAAAGGTGTCTTTTTTCCTTCCTTGTTTTAAATTTTGGTTTGCATGCGTATAATATCCTTTGCTCTGGTTCTGCCATAGTTTTCATACTAATTTCCATTTTATGGACACTGAATTCAAGCTAAAGTTTGAAAATAATTTTTCCCACACACCCTAAGATAGTAGTAGTGAACATTCTTGATAGATTTTAAGAATGAAGAATGGTACAATTCACTTTTAATCTGTAACTCCTATTTTTGAAAAATGGCTAGGACCACTCCTTTGCATGAACATTTAGAACACAGCAGCTGTTTGATTTCTCCTATGTTAATGCTCTTCATTGCCGAGCGGATGGGTGTAACTAATACTAGTACTTCAAATTCTCTAAAGTTCTATTAAAGCAATGTACTTCATATTTTTTTAATTAAGAAATTATTTTATTTTAGAAAAACACTTTAAATAGGACTATGATCTTTAAGAAACAAATTTGGTACATGTAAGATAATGGCAAACTTCTGCATTTAGATATTTAAATGCATCTTTCTAAAATGAGGACTATTAACCTGGCGTCAGCTTTTTAGCCTAATCACTACTGATAAAATATCCAACTTTAGGAAAGCTAGTAAGGTACACAAACAAATAATTAAATCTTGTTTACTTTAGGGGATCATGCAAAACAAGGCATCTTTTTAATCTGCTGCAGCATGTGTGTCCACACCATTAGCTATTAGCTTTTAGCTTCACAGTCATTCCAGCTTTAACTTGGCCATGGGTCCAAATGGCCAGCCTGATACATGGACAAAGCCATTCCAATGAGGGGTGCTGAAGGTCCAGTCTTCCCCTCAAATATCTTTCTATGGGCAAAGCCAATTAAGTTAGAACAAAAACAGGAGATTTTCTCCAGAACCCCAAAGAAATTGCACATATACTACTTCTTAAAATAACACGCTAGTTACACTAGTTAATTGACACCTTGGACCTTGAGGGGAAGAAGAGAAGCTGAGCAGGAAAGTTTTAGCAGGGGAAAGGGTCCTGGAGGCTGGTATAAAATTGATTATCTTGGGGGGATGAGAGCACCAGAGCAGGAGTCAAAATAGAAGTAAAGAATAATAACACTCTTGTTAATTGACATCTTGGACCCTGAGGGGAAGAGAAGCCCAGCAGGAAGGTTTTAGCAGGGGAAAGGGTCCTGGAGGCTGGGTGGTATGTGACAGCATAAAAGTGATTATTTTGGGAAGATGGAGAGCACCAGAGCAGGAGTCAAAATAGGAGTAGAGAACACGGTACGGTAAAACACTTTAGGGAAAATAAACTCAAAATTTCTCACAAATGTCTAAGGAAAACGTTTCTTCAAAACGATCTCCAGGCTCTTTTCTGACCTTTATTGACTACTTGCCCGGCAGTTCCAGCCTGGCTTTCACTTAAAGCCAGGCACCAGCCCAGCTCATTCACTTAAAAAGTGAAGTGCATCATTGGATACAAGTCAACCATTATTATTACTGCATTTTATTTTATTTTATTTTTTGAGATGGAGTCTCACTCTGTCACCCAGTCTGAAGTGCATTTGGTGTGATCTCAGCTCACCACAGCCTCTGCCTCCTGGGTTCAAGCGATTCTCCTGCCTCAGCCTCCCGAGTAGCTGGGACTATAGGAATGCGCCACCACCCCCGGCTAATTTTTCTATTTTCAGGAGAGACAGGGTCTCACCATGATGGCCAGGCTGGTCTCAAACTCCTGACCTCAAATGATCCACCCATCTCGGCCTCCCAAAGTGCTGGAATTATAGGCATGAGGCACCCCACCCAGCCCATTACTGTATTTTTAAAAACTATAATTACCATAATGGATACCCTATTAGAATTACACAATAAAGGTATGTTTGTGTGCCAATGGATTGTGGTGCCTCTTGGGGCTACATCAAACTTCCTGGGATTACCTTCTGTATATATGCCTGTAAGGCCAACCTCAGTTCAGTTCTGCACCCAAGGACAGGCTAAAAACCAGGCCAGTCACATGGAGAGGGACACAAGTCCACCTCTTATTCACTTGTGTTCATATGTGAGTTTTATAGTAGGTTGATCCAGGAGAATTTGTTATTTTATTTTTATTTATTTTTTTGAGACAGAGTCTCACTCTGTCGCCAGGCTGGAGTACAGTGGTGTGATCTCGGCTCACTACAACCTCCGCCTCCCAGGTTCAAGCGATTCTCCCGCCTCAGCCTCCCAAGTAGCTGGGATTACAAGCGCACACCACCATACCCAGCTAATTTTTGTATTTTTAGTAGAGATGGGGTTTCACCATGTTGGCCAGGATGGTCTTAATCTCCTGACCTCATGATCTGCCCACCTTGGCCTCCCAAAGTGCTGGGATTACAGGCGTGAGCCACTGCGCCTGGCCTAGATCCAGGAGAATTTGTTAAGTGTACTAAGAGAGGATTCAAGTCATCAGTATCCACTCTGCTACTTTTAATTAAGGTGAAATGGAAAAGGTACAGATTTTGGATTCAGAGTCAGGCTCTAGTTCTGGTTCTGACACTTACTAGCTGTGCCACCTTGAATTACTCTTTCTACCTCAGTTTCCTCCATCTACAGAAAGGTAATAAGAATGCTTACACTCTAGGATGTGAGGAATAAAGGTATATCATAGGCACTGGATACATGATAGTTGTAATTATTCGTTTCTTTTCAGAGTCACCAAAAATTCCATAGAATCATGGAAGTGGACTCGAAAACCCTGATGAAGTGAGTAATCAATGGGATAATACCCGAGAGTAAGGCTACCTTCTGAGAGCTTATAACAGAACTGCATCCAGGATCTGGGTGTGGCGAGATAATGCTCTTGTCCTGATCTCACTTGCTCCTTCCTGGTGGCCTGAATTCATGCAGAGGACAACCTGAGCAACCACCATCATATCGAAACTGGATAAGGGGGCACAGCAGAGGCACTCTGATCACTTGATATCTATTTAGGCATTTGCCTTGCTCTCTCTAGCAGTGTGGCCACTATATTTTAAATGCTGGACTATATTTTGAACCAGTTTGCTGCAGATTGCATTTTGATAAGGATGCCGCAAAGCCAACACCACAGGGGTGTAATCCCAGCACTCTGGGAGGCTGAGGCAGGTGGATTGCTTGAGCCCAGGAGTTTGAGACCAGCTTGAGCAACATGGTGAGATCCCGTCTCTACAAAAAACAATAAGGTGACCTTTGCCCTCAGTGGTGGTTTTGACAGGAAGGGTAATCCTGAATGACCTGGCCACAGATGAAGCAGATCTGAGCCTAAGCATAGGGTTGGCAAGGCACAAGCCAAGGTGTGGATGCACTTTGGGTCTCCTATGTGAGGCTTGGCTTGCACAGAGGGTGGATGAAATTCTCCCTTGCATTAGAATCACTGTGTTAAACGTTCTGGGCCATCTCAATTATTTACCACCACCACAGAAATTCTGTATTGAATTTCAAATCTTATCACCCTTATTAACTAAAAAATGTCAATTAAATTATAACTGTCCACAGAACTTTGTCTAACCTTTAAACATAAATATGATTTTAACAATTAATTCTTAATTTCACTATCTACTGTAGGAACCAACATCTCATATTAGAAGAGAAAACAAAGGAACCCTCTAAAATTGTCCTTGCAGTTTTGCACGTGCAATCAGGGGTGCTGAAGCATTTCCCCATCCAAATTGCATTTAGTCATGCAGCTTCTGGGCAGACCTGGGTGCTGATTTTAAGAAACGTGACCTCTTTCTCTGAGAGCCACATAAACTACTCAGCTCACCCAGGGGAGGTGAATCAACTCTTCCGGGGTACCATTTCACAAATTATTGCTGCAAAAATGCTAAATCCATTTGGGAATAAAAGCCCTAACCCATATAGGATGAAAGTCATTCTGTTTTGGTTCCATGGCTGGTACAAATTACAATCTGCCCACAAGCCTGAGGAAAACAGAAAGGAGAAATAGGACTGCAGGTGAGCCAAGATTCCAAATAACAGTCAAAATCATCTTACCTGTCTTCCTGATGTTGGCCATCTTGGGAGCTACAGATGAGGGTGGGATGTTTGAATGTGAGTGTATGTGTATGAGGTTCAGTGTGGGAAAGTGTGGGACAAGCAGAGGGACAGGGCAGGAGGGAAAGATGGGGTATAAAAGCAGGATATATTTTTGTGAGCAGGCAGGAGTTACGCTTTCCTTGGGGTATATGCAAATGTTATGGATCAAATTAAAAGGCAGGTAGGTCTAATCATTTTCTCAAACTATGCATAACTAAACTAAATGGTACACTGGAAGAGAGAGTCCACCTTATACGGGTGCTGAGAGTTAAAAACACATACATATTTTGATATCTGTTCAATGTTGACCCAAGTCATGGCAATCAGTAACATGAAAGTTTATTGTAAAATTGTGTTCAGAAGAGGTAGTAATTGAGTACATATTTCTCCTTTACCTTAGTTGTCCACAAAGTAGTCAGATATAAAGTGGACATTTACCTCTAGAAAATCACTTTGATATTATATAAGGGTAAAAAATGCCATTACGAACTCTTGGAAATTCTTTCTGACCTGTAATGTTACACAGAGCTGCAGTGAACTGAGTAAATTTGATAGTTTCTAAAATGTAGCGATATTCTTCTATTTTGTGAGTCAAGAATATATTTTCAGCTGCTTCCTGTTCTATTTGAAGTATTAGATAACAACATTTTTATAAGCATAAAAAATTTCTTACATGCTTTGTTGAGAATCTGTATAACACTTCTCAGCACAGCCTTTCTCTGGTAGGAAATGGTTATACTGAACAAATAAAACCTAAACTCATTCCACATACTCCCATGTGGTCAATGTTGTCTCAGTAATTTTCCAGTTAGACCAAATCATTGTTTCTACTCCAAGTAAAATCCCATCACATTTCACTTAGTTTCTTTATACGTTTTTCCGTGAGTTTTTGTATGCACTATGCACTCTTAGGCAGTAAGTAGGAAAAATGCATTATGAAACTGCTAGATTCTAGAAACTAAATTGTTCAGGTTAATAGTGCTTCTTTATTAGTGGAAAGTATGTTTCATGCCCATAGAACACTACATAGCATAAAATGAAGAGAAAGCTACTAAAAAGCTTAAGATGGTGATAGGGACATGCACTAAATGACAACCCTTTCAAATGGCTTTATTTGAAACATTCAGAAAAGAACCAGACTTGCTCACGAAGCAAAAACAGAGTCAAAAGGCAGCAAATAAACAAGGACCCCTTTCCACCTATAGGAACTTGTATTGGGAGATACAAGATAGAGAGCCAGTCACACTACAGTATTTGTATGTGCTGGGAGAGTTTGAGAAGGATATAAAAATTAATTTATAAAATACCTAAAGTATGGTCCTTCAGTGTTTTTATTCACATCTTCTACCCACTTAGCTACATTATAGTCTCTTTTGAACCATGGGTTTAAATACCTGCAGAAAGCAATGGAAGGAACAAAGAAAGCAGAACAAGATAGAAAATCTGAAAATACACAGCACAAGCTTAGCAAGGATGTCTTCACCCTCCAAATGCAAGTGACCATGGCAAATAAACCAGAATGGATGTTGGGTGATTATGAGGCAGTCTATACAATGACATGAGAATAATCTCAGCTACAACAAGGCTCAATCAAGGCATTCTACAATATATTCAACATTTCTGGGAAAGCCTTTTCCAGTGGCTTCCCAAAGTGAATTAGAAGCTCCCTTTCAATCACAGTACAGTCAGCAGTCCCATTCACCCACCTCTAAAGTGGCTTTTTCCAGGCCACCTCTCATTTGGCTCTTTGGTTTTTAAATGATAATGATGCTTTTTGAAAATACTCAGATGGCTGCAATTCCAATCTGGCATTTGGGCATACAACACCCTAAGAACAATTAAAAGGAACAAAGTTCTCTTTCCAATATAAGAAGGCTTTTACGTGACCACTGTCTTACTCTCTATAGAGGGTCTCAAGCTGGAGTCAACATGAAAGTATGTTCCAGTTGGCTCTGCAAGGAGCAGATAGGGTCCCACTCTTCTGATCCTGGAGCCTCAATGCACATTGTGTGGTCTAAATAGGCCTCCATGATCTTGAAGCTGGGTTTAGTAATTTAGTTGCAGCTGCAGTGTTCCTTCCTCTTCTTTGTGCACTCCAGAATAAAGTGCTCATGTTTCCATTAGGAACCAACCCTCAGAGGTTGCCTTCCAAGTGTCTGACCATGAATTGTGTGAATGACTGCCAGAGAATAATAATGACCTTAGTTAGCATTTCCCTGATGGATCTGGCAATGTTTCCATCAGAATTACTGTGCAAATTTTAAAGGTAAAAAAATTGGAGGGAGGTCTTCAGTTGTTGGTTTTCCCCAGAGTTTCCTTTGATTTTTACCCTGGGAGCCAAGCAAAAATACATCCCCTTCAGAGTTTGCCCTTGTAAAATAATGTAGATTTAACAAATTCCATACTGGAAGAATTTGGAAGTTTTACTTTTCATTTTTTTTTCATTTAAAAAGCAACTTCTAGGGCTACTATAGACAATAAAGATTCAAGCTCTATAAAACGTAAGTTATTTGTAAACAAACCAGGGGAAATTATAAAATACATTATTTATTTCTGGTTACATTTTCCTTCTTTCTCCCATATTTAGTTATTGAGCTCGTCATAAACATGGAAGACTACATTTCCAATTATATAAAAATATCAGGTTATTTTTTCCACAGCCCTTTCCCTCATTTTTAGCCATAATCGAGGTACTATACAAAATAACATTGTGAAATTCCCTTCTGAAAGAAGGGTTCAGTTGCTTTTTCTGCTTATAAGACCATTTTTGGTAAGATAGTATCTCCTGACTCAGAAACAACTCACACTAGTTTTGCCTTTAGCCATAATCATTGCCAACTTGTGCTTTCACAGATAGCCAATTAAAACTTGCATAAAGATTTCCACTGAGACTCTCAACAAAAAGAAAAAGTCAAAAAGCCAAGTGCAGCCACAAATGAAGGCTAGTGAATGCTCCGGCCTGGGGAAAACCGTAGAAAAAGCCCATGCAGCTATAATCAGGTGAAACATAGCCACACAGCGAAGTGAGTCACCCACAGGCAGACGGCCACTTCCGGGAGGAGACATTTGTTCCTTTCACTGACAATCTTAGAAACTCAAAGTACTGGTGCCACAGCTATTCCATGAATGCTACAACAACATGGCTTGACTTGCACTTGATGGACTTTTTCCTCTGTTTGAGGGAGCATTTCAGAAGGCTGTGGTCACTTCACCAGAGAGTTCTTCACTGAAAACAACTCCCAATTTTTTGTTCTTTCTGGGGATCTGCCCATGAAAATGTCTTCATGGTGAGCTTCCTGATATCTCAAGGTCATGGTGGCTGGAGTGATGGGATTTTATCATATTGCAGTAAATCTACCTATGTGGCTTGACTTGGCATATAGCGCGACATGCAAAAAAAAATGGCGTTAGATGGGATAGGGGAGCTCTTTGTGTTTTCCAGGATGGAAAGGCAAAGGAAAATTAGCTGGTGCTGGCTGGACCAGGAGCACCTCTGGCAAACATGAGGGCTCGCTCAAAGATCAAATGACCCTGTTCTCAGCCAAGGAAAGGACTTGTAAGGAGATTAAGTGGCAGCCCAGAATGAAGGGGCAGGTGGAGACTGACCTGTGATCCAGACTCCCTGTCTGGGGGCTGTCAGAGCCCCCTGGGCTTATGCCTTGGGATGGGACTGTCTGGGCGAGGGAGTGCCCAGGCTCAGGTGCTTGGGGCTCCCTCCTGTAAAAACACAATATATAATACAAAGTCTAAGCCAAAAAATGTTTTTACATCATGTACAACAATGAGGAAGATGCAAAAGTTTTGACTGGAAAAACAATACAATATATGAGGACATTTTATTTTGTTAATTAGCAGAGCATGCCTTTATGGTGCATGTTTTAATTCATGTCCCAATTTTTCATCATCTTTTGGAATAATGAGGTACTAAAGGGAATTTTGAGTAATGGACCTGAAACACCTCTTATATGAAAAAAATAAAAGATATATTTGTCTGTGGTAATTCTGCTCCTCTTGTAGTCACACAAATGGTATTATACTATCAGAAGCAAATGGGATTACTTAAATATGGAAAGTATTAAAAGTTTGCAAACATAATTCTTGATATGCTACCTATCAGGAATCCTTGTAAGAAAATATATACGTGTGTGTGTATGTATAAATATATATATATATATGTATATATACATGTGTATATATAGAGAGACAGTTCCTATACAAGAAGGTATGTGAGAATTATGGTCAGCTTTACAGACTTGGATCCATTTAATTAACATGAGTCATGTAACCAAAATCAGAAAAGTCTGAAAAATCTGAGGAAGTCCTTAATACTTCTCCCTCATAAAGATGATCCTATTGTAATGTCATATTAAATATTATAATTTAATTATCTCATAGGCAAGATTTCTCAAAGGCCATCTGTAGTATTACAATTTTAATCATACAATGTGAGTGGAAATTATACACAACATTTAAAAAAATAAGTAACTGCTCTAGAAAACACTGTATGAATATTGTTAAACACCAAATGTGCGTTAGGTCCTAAGCTCATAGCTTTAACATAATACTGATTTTTTTTTTAACTTAGGAGTTTTTGAAGTCTTGTTATAGGAAATGCTGTTAGAACACTAAACAGTAAACAAGGAAGTTCTAAAGAACATTTTGCAATTTTATCTGTACACCTGTGAGCAACTAAAATAAGTTAAGGAGCTCTTACTAGGTGACCTCATGCAAAACAAACCAAACAACATTCCAAGAAGAGTTTATCAACAATGAGCCCTAAAGCATCCAAGCGCTTTGGGAATATATAAGATAAACTCTAACACATTAGTTATTTATGATGGAATTCTATGATGCCATTCTGGACCATGCAATGGTATCACTTGAAATTGTCTACTGTGTCTATAAAGTATCCATGTTGACAAGCCACTTACAAGACAATACCATTCAGGTGGAAGGTCCAAATTTCAGGGCAATGTTATTATTCCTGGACTGAAAAAGGCAGGGTATATGACGGAAAAGCTAACATAAGTTTTTGACAAGCAGTTAACAAATACCTGCTATTCAGACTTTCCAAATATTAAGGCATGAAGAAGCAATAGAGATCCTGGAAATAATAACTATCGCTAGAGTGAGAAATAAGTAAAAAATTTTAGGAAGGATAAAATAGAATGGGTAAAAAAAGTCAGGTGGCAAGTTCAGTCCAAAAGGATACTAAGGATGTGTTTTATTCCATGAAGGGAGATAAAGATTTGAGGAGGTTTTGTTTTGCTTGTACTTTCTTAAGTGGAGAAACAAACAAAACAAATACATTATTTACTTCATTATAAATGACTTTAAATGTGACTTCTAAACCCACCCCCCTTAAAAAAAAAGTAAATGCATGGCTATCATTTAAAACGGATAATGTTGCATTTAGTGACAATGATTCAGTTAAAGAGCAAGTTTAGGAAAATGCCCTTTTAAATGTTCTCAGATAGAAAATTTAAAAGGGAAACTTATTCCATTAGTCTGAGAGAATGCTTAGATTGCAGCCATGAAGACCTCATAGTGGTGGTTTTAGATCATGAGCAGTATCATGCTCTAGTACAATGGGAATTTTTCCCCGATGCTTACAAGGCTGTGTGAGTATTGGGGAGAGGAAGGGTGACCCTTTGAAATGGTTGAATCCCAGATGATGAGAAGAAAGGAATGTTATCAAATTCCCTTCATATAGAACCAAGACCCCACAATGGCAGGTGACTGGAGGAAAAAGCCTGCAGGTGAGACCCCCACTATCAATGAATATTGGTATGGGAACAGTTGTGGAGATGCCTATGTAAGAGAGAAAAGCCATGGTTAATTTTTAAAGGGCAAAAAAGAATTTAAAAGACAAAACCAAGACCGGAGACATGGTTTACAGTTCTTTGACTATCTGCTTAATTTACTTTTGACACTATTTGCACAGGACCTTGGAGTGCCTTTTTCCATTAGAGGTTCAGACTTACTCAGTTGAATTAGACCGAGGTCTAAATCTTTTGCCTCTGATTTTCTTTTTGTTGCCTCCCAGGTTACCTGAAAAAGACGGTTTAGAGCTAGATTTCCATGTAAATAAGTGATTGCCCTATGTCTAATTACGAGGCATTTCAAGTGGGTATAATTGATAAGCAGCACCACTGTGGAACACCGGGTTTGTCACACTGTACAGCTTTCTCAAATTAAATTTCACAAAGTGTCTAGTGTCCTGGTGCTGCCGAATCCCATCATTTCCCATCCAGATAAAAACTAGGCTCTCATTCTACATATTCTCCTCTCTGTTGGGAGAAGAGCTAAAGAGCTTCAAAGAAATAAAAGTCTTTACAACCAGGGGCCACAGAATATAGAACTTGATTATGTGGACAGACAGATTCAGAATGCCAGCCTCTACCTTGCCAAGAGTTACTTCGAGGTCGCCCATTTTCACAGATGTCTGAAATATGTTTTGTGTCTGGAATCCTTTCACTCCAAGAATGAGAGAGCCCATTTGACCTGAAATTGAAAATATTGATAAATTGTTCAAAAATGTAACCAAATGAATGTTTTGAGATCAGTAAGCAAAACTTCTAAGCATTACTGTGCATTAAATAAAATAAATCAAGAAAGAAAAAATCTGAAATGAAAGAATGAAGAGAACATGAAAGTCTTCATGAAGAAGGCAGAATTACACAACATCCAATTTAAGAAAAGTCAAATACAATGGAACCCCATTACAATAGTATATAAATGAAAAGTATCAAGACACAATGCAAGCCAATTTACATTCCCCAGAACACAGCAACCACAGAGCAAATTCACTATGTATTTCAGCATCACCCCAGCAGCAGAGTTATAATGGGGTCCCACCATAGATGTTTCTTAATTGTAAAGCAATGGTTTCCACTCAGATATTATGAGAACATGGACTTCCAAGAGATTACATAAAGATTTGCTCAAGTGAACCTGGTTAACATTTATCAAAGCATTATTTAGATTTTCTTAAGTAATAAAATTATTTTCTAAGAATTGGCATTTTTCTCCACAAATATGGTCCAAAAAAGTGTAGTACATGTTGGCTAACTGTTCAATAACTGAACTGAATCAGATGTTTATCATGACAGTGCCTCTCACAAAGCCCATGTACCATTGAGCCCACCTGCTATTTGTGTCCTACCATCTTTAAATGAATGATCTAAAAGAAGCAAAATTTACACACCTACCTTGTACCACACAAGAATTTTAACAAGCTACATATACTTCAGAGAAATCTTAAGAACTTTTAACTGCTTAAGAATCATAACCCACTGAGATTTTTCTAAAATCTGGGAATTATTCAAATGGATATTTTAAACTCTTTTATAGGAACTTTAGAAAATAGCACTATACTTAAAAATCTTTTCCACATATTATTCTGGTTAATGGAATAATTTAATGGAATATTGGTTAATGGAATCTGGTTAATGGAATAATAATAGAAATAATTTCTATTTCAAAAAAAGCCTTCTACTGATCAGTGAAAATAAATGGAACTCAGCACAACTACTCCATATGAATTCCCTAGGTTGGAATTTCTCAACATCATTTGCTACTCACAGAATGACTCATATTTTGTACAAAAGAACAACAGAAATTCTGCTGGAAACCATTAATTTCTCCACTAATTTACCATGTTGTTTAATTTAAAATTTAATATTCTATCAAGAAAATATTTGTATCAGAGAATTCAAGTAGAACCCTAGTCTTCTCTTAGCCAACAAGCCCTCCATAAATTAAAAGAATACATTTTTTAAAACATTATTCTGTAGAAACATACTCCTTTGGCGACAACTAGTGTTTCTACTTTTGCTGGAAGCTACATTATCTAAGTGAAAATTATCCTTCATGCTTAAGAAAGTTCCACATAAAGTAGAGTTCCCAGGTCTCACTAATTCCTTCTATTCTCCTTCCTGATTAACATTTACAAAGACTGAGAGACATTGCAGAATATTTACAGATGATCCACTCTATACAGAACTCCGGAACAGGTCATGTTTCCTCCAATAAACTAGCATCTTCCCCTTCACTCTGAAAAGTAGCTAATGTGCCCAAAGGCATGAGCAGGGCTACCAAACCTTTTTTCCTGTCCATTATACTCTTATTGGCAACTTTAAATAAATAAATTCTCCCACAAGAATATTTTTGCTTCCTTCAATGTGAACATAGGTCTCATTTCCTAAAACATGCCAACTATTTATTTCTTCTTTTCATTTATTTTATTAAGCAGTTACAAAGCATGCAGAATTTTAAATGGTGTCATACACCTTAAGATGCTAGAATAAGAATATAGCATCAGTGTCTAAGACATAAATAATATATTAATCCCACCTGTACTATTATAAAACTCAGGCAAAATTAAGCACACTTAATTTGTCAACTAAGTTGTAACTTATAAAGTCTAGAAATAATCACCCCCCAAAAAAGGCAAAATCACAATACTCAAATATATGATTCACAGAGAAGCAATCTTTGTTTCATAGCGAGCTTAGCTTTGATATATATAAAATTAAAAAATACTCAATGCAGCACTTATATCACCAATTTATTTAACAGTTGCTTTTATTGAAGCATGACAGTAACCTTTTTCTTTGACTACCAAACATGACATAAAGCTCACCATTTAAATATTATTAAATACTATGTATAGTTTCTTAAGCCATATAAAGCAAGACTGAAAAACCCTGAGGTTTCTATATAGATTCAGAGTTATTGTTTGGTTTGCTTTGTTTTGATTTTGTGGCCTGATTTGTATAATGAGTGGTTCTGAGCATATGGCATTTTGAAGTAGAGTAATCAAAGAACAAAGGATACTATTTTTTAACATTCAAGAAAGAAGGAAGAAGTAATCAAACCTGCTGCAAAATAATGAAATGTTCTGACTAATGGAATAATGTGTGATGGAACAGGTAGAAATCTGAAAATGCGACAGAAAAGCAGACCTCTTCTTAGAACTAGATGCTGAGTTTGTGCTGACTCCGGGAGGAATGTCGCTATAAAAAGAGTCACCATCTCCAGGCTTTTTTACATAATCTCCCTGGGGTAACTGTCTAAGGCATAATAAACATTTCAGAGTCAGAAAACAAGACACACACATGAACACAGACATATACAAATATTATTTCAGGAAAAAAGAGAGGTAGGGATAATGATCTACATGAATCAAATCTATCACAACACATAAAATTATCAATAAATGAGACAAGTTAAAGTCATTCTAACTGTAGAGGCCAGAAATGCAATTACAAAAGTCTTTTATCATTTGGATGAATAAAGCCTTGCTTTGGGGAAAAATATGAAAATATGAGTGTTTTCATGGTAACTTCATTATACTTGAAAATGTTAAGTGCATTTTTGTCTTTTTTTAAAAAAAAAATATGTCGAAGGTGTGTTAGGACAGATAGTCCCTACCCAGATTAAGCATAGCTTTCTTTTTCTTTGTGGTGAATAAACTATTTATAATTTCTAAACATCACATAATGCAACCTGGATTTGGTCTGAAAAGAACTGATTGACTTTTAAACTATTCTAGAATTTCATCCAAATAAATCACTATTAGAGTTTGATGTTCAATTTAGAGCTTCATTATTCATTTAACAGAAATACGAAGAAATGGAAAGATTCAAAGTTAAATCAAAAAGGTAATTTTATAACTGTTCAGTGGAACATGTGAAGGAAGATAATTTAACAAGAGCAAGAAAAGGTTGAAAAAAATAACTGAATTTTTGCTGAAACTATAGAAGTATATTTATAGGTAGTTGGTGGGTGACCTTAGTTCTCTCTCTCTACTGTAGTAGGAGTGCCCAAGTGAAAATGTATTTAATCTGCACTGTTATTGACCCAAGTCATCTGATTTTCAATAAATTAAGATTGGAACAGATTTTTATTACTTCTCCTAATGTAATCAGATAGAAAATTTTAGATAAGGCCCCCAGTTAACCTTCCTGCAATAGCTAATCTGGTCATTTGTCAGTAGTGTAGCCTCCAAATAGCCAACTGCACCTAAAACTTGATTCTTTTCTATTCAGTACTATTGTTGGAGGTGCCACAAACTAGTGCTGGACTGAGAATTTTTAACAAAGCTATGCTTAATTAAATCTCTAGCAAAAGCACAAATTTGCTAACTTTTCTTTTTCTTATTTGGTTTCTCCTTATTTACCATTATAATTTTGATTATTTGCTGATGCTGAATTTAATCCCCCCAAAATGCCATTTTCAGGTGTTTGCTTGCTTAAATTTTTGCCATATTGTTGTAAATGTTTAAAATACTTGGTCATTCATTCTGTTGAATGATTGAATACTCTCATATTATTTTAATGCTATTTAGTTACACACGTCTGTGAATCTGAAAGATTTTTCAGTTAGTATGAAGCACATATTTTAACTTGTGTGATTTAATCTACTCTCTTTTATGTTTACTAAAGAAAGTAGAATTTCTCATGAAATTAGTAATGTAGGATTAATTCCACCTATAACTTTTTGATATGATTCCTCCAAAATATTTTTAATTCTGTAAATGACTTCAGCTCATAATAGTTATTCTTTCTTTTCCCCAGTATATAAAACATTAATTTTATAGGATAATAATATGAAACTTCACATTTATATTGTTACATGACACCAGCTATATCTTCCCCTGTAAGAGATCTTTATTAATATTTTCTATTTTACCTTGTATCAGTAAAATATTCCATTAGTGCTTGAAAAAAAATGCTGTCAATAAAATCAGAGTTCTAGTTTTTGCCTTGGGGAGAAAACTTCCCTTTTGTATTACATTAATATTTGTAAAAGAATCCCATGAACACATTTCCAATAATAATATCTATGGTTAACAAATCCCATTTATCACTACTATCTTTACTGATAATCTTTATAAACTGATGAGATGTGCCTCACCAAATTCAAGTCAATTAAAGACCAGGCTGGGCGTGGTGGCTCACGCCTGTAATCCCAGCACTATGGGAGGCCGAAGCGGGCAGATCACTTGAGGTTGGGAGTTGGAGACTAGCCTGGCCAACATGGTAAAACTCCATCTCTACAATAAATACAAAAATTAGCTGGGTGTGGTGGCACACACCTGTAATCCCAGCTACTCAGGTGGCTGAGGCACAAGAAGTGCTTGAACTTGGGAGGCAGAGGTTGCAGTGAGCCGAGATCGCACCATTGCACTCCAGCCTGGGCAACAGAGCAAGACTCTGTCTCAAAAAATAAATAAAATAAATAAAATAAGTAAAAAATAAAGACAAGCTATTATACAAGAGCACTGAACTACACTTGACCATTCCCAGTATTCTATCCCACAAATCGCCTTCTCTTTAACATTTAAATTTAAACATTAAGTAAGGCCTCACTTAGCTGACACTGAGGATGTAGATGGACTATGTTTCACAATGGATGGGGCCCAGTTTTGTTTTGTGTTTTTAACTGAACACGTTTTATTATCCCTTCAATGTAACTTCTCTGAAGTCCATGGTCATTTTTTACACAGTGCCCAAACACCCTAAATGCTAAATACATCATAAACTGTGGGTTTCAGTCAGTTTCAGTTCAATGTACTTCTGGAGCACCACCTTGTTTTCATTAGGTTGAGCAGATTAGATTCTTATCTATCACACTGCAAAGTCTCCAAAAGATGGAAATTCACTGGCTTTTCCCTAAAATTCCATAAGGAATGCATGTAACTTTCTTCACATGGTAAATGTCAGTGATAGGTTATGAATTTCGTTAAAGATCTCTTAAGAATAATGTTTCTGGAAGGCTGAGGTGGGCGGATCACGAGGTCAGGAATTCGAGACCAGCCTGACCAACATGGTGAAACCCCATCTCTACTAAAAATACAAAAAAATTAGCCAGGTGTGGTGGCACGCACTTGTAATGCCAGCTACTCAGGAGGCTGAGGCAGGAGAATCGCTTGAACCTGGGAGGCGGAGGTTGCAGTGAGCCGAGATCGCGCCACTGCACTCCAGCTTGGGTGACAGAGCGAAACTCCATCTCAAAAAAATAATAATAACAATACTACTACTAATAATAATGTTTAACATCCTTCATTTAGAAATTTGTCTTTTTTACAATTATTAATTACATATCATAACAAAGCTAATTCTTCTTGCTTTAACAGAGAATATCAAGCCCCCATGGTAAATAAAATAACTTTTCATCATTTGTTGTCATAAATGACTAAGTAAATGATCCTTTTAAAATTTTAAATCAAACTTCTTTTTCCAGTCCTTTATTATCTTTACGGCTTTCTTCCTAAATCTTGAGTGCTTTCTTATTTCATCAAATTTTGGAAACTAAAAGTGATCACCACAGTAGGTGGCCTGATTAGTGCTAAATTTTATAATGGGAAAATTACCTCAAATTTCTCATATTACATGCAAATATTTTAGACATGTATGATTTTTAGTGAACAATAGCCAAAATATAATAAACACTTATGTAACTAGTTTTTTTCCCCCTCAAAACGTATCTCTCCCCACATTAATTACATGTTGTCTTTTTCTTCTCTGTACAACTTTGGCATTTCATTTTGTGTTTTGAATCGATACATCCCATTAAATAACATTCTTTTGAAGGTATTTCCTATTCTCTAGGTAAGGATCAACCCCTGTAACTTAATGACTCTGGGGGAGCTAATTTATACAATTATTTCTCTCCAGGTCTACAATACTATGCTTATTGCTTGCTTATTCTTATTCCACTTCAGAAGACAACTCTTAATGTGTTCATAATTATAAATCATCTAGTTGTTATGTTAGCATTCTAAATTTAAACATCAAGTAAGACTGTTTCTTGATCACCCCAAAACCTTTAGGCTAATGGTCCTGTTATGAGAGAAGTCTAATCTTTCCTAAAAGCATCAATTGAATTATATTTATCTTAATAATTCTTATGCATACTTAAAATGTTGGAGGAAAAAACCATTTAACCAACTCTTAACTTTAGTGCTGAAGGAGGCATTTCTCCAATGCTTGGTTGGCATCTGGGCTGTCTCTTATTAAATTGCTACTTTACTGTTTTAAGAAATACTGTATAATGTGTACCAAGTAACATTGACAGATGCAGGAATATCACCGAAATAATAATAATAATATAAAAACAAACTAAGAAAGGTTTGGAAAAAAGATGAGAAGTTCACAAGTAGAAAATAAAGTGGCTAAAACAGGTGAGAGAGAAAAGAAATGGGGAAGGGGAGGGCATTCTGCTTAAAGTGAAACCATAAATCAAAAAGATATAATCTAATTATTTTTTATATTTCTCATCAATCATAATGGTGTGTGTTCATCTCAGACAAAGGAAGAGAATAAGATTTCAGCTAAATATGAATGTTTTATGTATCTAAGTTCAGTTACTGTTTCTTATTCTATTGCTATTTGCAAACTTACCCTAAAAACTAAAATCCACTTATAATTCTCATTACAAGTCATATAGCTTCTAAGACCTAAAGCAATTGTGCTATAATATAAACAATAATATCAACTGAAAAAATTGGGGAAGTTTTCCTTCCTGAATATTTTAAATGAAAGGATAAATATAACCATCATTCTAATTACCTAATGTCTAAGGCTATGGCTCCTTTGTTCCACAATTCTGCCCATTATAAGACACTGGCAGATTTAAAGTGATGCTGCACATATGTGGAGTTCTGCCTTCACTATGACCCAGAATGGAGCTTCCGGTTTCTTTCTATTACAAAGTTTGTGAACAAAAAGAAAAAAAACGTGGGTCTGCTTCACATCTGTTTGTCAAACTTGCAAGAAAACATAGAATATAATCCTTCTCTATACTGAAAACCTTGAGGACTCATTCTCAGAAGAGAAAATTTATCTGGTTATCAAATTCACTCACAGAACTACTTGCCTGTCCTCTCCAGGAATTGGAAAGTTATGCCCATTTTGGTACTTCTGAGCCATTACAACAGTATTAAGAATCTGATAACAGGCTATTATACTTATTAGGTCTTGCATTTAGTGTCAAAGCAAAAGTTTACATTCACCGACATTTCCACCACCTCAACCAGTATGTGTGAGCCTCACTCATGTCAATGAATGCTGCCTTCCTCTTTGAGAACAACTGCATTCACCTCTTTCATTCAAAGATCAGAGAAATACAGTCTTCCAAGACCACATGCTAATAACTTCCCGTCACCATAATGCTTTACAGATTACAAAGAACCTTACTTGATTTCAGAGTTGAGGAAAGTTTGATTTTCCAATACCACATACTAGTAGATTTCTGATTCCTTGTGGACTGGTCTCCCTACCATGGAACCTCAAAGAAAAACCTCATTTAAAATCAATAACAACTCAAAATCCTTAATTTTACTTCCTGGTATATTTTGGAATTGGGAAGATCTTTACTTGAATGTCTATAGATATTTTTATAAGATTGAATATTTTTTAATGCATGCTTTGGTCTGTTGGCCTTACCACTTTGTCTATAATCACTAACATATATTCTCAAAAAGGAAACTCATTTAGAAAACACTTATACATTCACAACTTCCTGATCTAAAGTCTATTCTTTGCCATTTCTCCACTTTGAGACCTACTGTACAAACCTAATATTCATTAGTTATGGGCAAGGACAAAAAAAAGGTTGTGTTGACATATATCAAAATATATAAAATAAATATCCACTGAAGATGTGACAACTCTCAAAATATGATGGACTAGATTCCAAAAGAGTAGCCAGATCAATGAAATGATGACTCAGTAACACCAGGAGACATGAAATTATATCAGGCACATAAAGGAGATTCTTCATGTGAAAATGTTCTTAACGATATCTCTCTACATATTGAGTTAGAACAAGAAATTTGTGCATACTTTTCAATATTAATCATTTTTTTAAAGTGTGGGCAATTCCCTTATTCTGGATAGAATCCCTAATGAGAACACATCTTAGAGCACTGTGCTAGCTTTGCTTATGTTGCCTATGAGACATTTCACTTTCATTTTCATATATTCAGCAATATTAAATTACATTATAGCCTTAGTTCCTGTGGAAATGAAGCTGAATCATTAACTTTTTAATCTTATTTGCCTAATTCTATTTTCCACTAAAGAAACTCACCAAACTTAGATTTCTAATACGATCAATCAACCTCTACCCAACAGAAAGTCTAAACGGCGGCTCCTGCTCTAAGCAAGCGCTTTTGGACACAAGAGTTTAAAACACATCATGAAGAAATCTGGTTGTTCTTAAATTGTAATTTTGTCCCAGTTTTACTTTTTCCATTAATGATGAGTTAGTCACTCTAGGGAAAGGTCAATATTTTCTGTTGTCTACACAAACTGACCAGGATTTCAAATGGTAACCCATGGGCACTATATATTTATACAGATTCTACAGATACCTATGGTTAAAGCCTTATGGGAATTTTAATTTATTTAAAAAAGAGTAAAGTTTAAATTTTTGATTTGTGAAAAAAATGAAAGTTGTGATGGAGCATGACAAATTACCACATTTATACACCTTATTCATAACCTGTCACAAGCATGCAACTCAACAATGGAAAAGGTTAAGTAAATAGGAATCTGCATAAATACCATGAGTATAGAACTAAATACCATTATCATGTGTAAGACCTGGTCTAGGTTATCAGTTTCCAGGATAATATTTTAATATTTTTTATCAATAGCTAACAGCACTAGTAACTTTTTAAGTGGGAAAAGTGAAGAGTGCATTCCAATATTATGTGCTAATTTAGATTCAGATAAAATAGGCAATTGTTATAGAACAACATGAACATTTTGTATCTCTTTTAAGCTGTTGGTTAAACATAGATTTTTACGGTTATGCTATACAGGGTGTCTGACTTTCTCAAGAATATAGGCATTTTTATTATTCCAACTATGCAAATTCTTTCTTTAAATGTGCAGTTACCTAATCAATACAAAAAATTCCTTATGCAGAGATAAACAGGCTCACGAAATGCTAGAACATTCCCAACAGCAACACTGCCCAAATAAACTTTGTCACTTATGAATGGATATTATTAATATAAAAACAGTAATAAATAAATTCCCTCAGAAAGTATTAGGCAATAAGAGTGTTACAAACATGAAGAAAAGCTAATATTAATGTAAACAAATGGGACACCTTAACATAGAGGAAGTTTGTTTTAGATGGAAAAAATCAATTTCTATATATATTACTATTAAAAAATAAGCAAGACTCCACTAATTGTAGTATCGTTGGATAAAAGATCCATTAAAATTAAATGACAGATCTATTTTAAATTGCTATATTTCACAGCACCATCATTAAAATTACCTCAAGATAATGAAAAATCGATTAGTGTATGATTATTATACATAAAAACAAAGTGAACTTAATTATAATTGCATGTATGAATTCCAACAATGCTAATATGAGTCAAACCTTTCAGTTTTATGTTCACATTATTTGTATTACATACCTCTGTTCTCGATAGTTTCTTTTCATGGACAAGAAGAGAAAGAGGGAAAAACATAAGAGTTAGTTACCTCTGGAAGGACATCAAGAGGGAGCTCTAAACATAAAAGCTCTAGCTTTCATTGAAAAGTCTTCACTAGAGGATTCTGAATTACAGAATTAAAATGGGAATGCACACACAAAAATGTCACCTCATCATCAGGAGAAGCAACAAAGAGTCAGTGACAATATTGTCAAACAATTGTCCACTTTTAAAAACATAAATATGCTGCAGTCATTAAAGAGTAATTGTTTTCTCAACATCAATCACTGCTCTAAAGTAAATCTTATTTCAAACACAGGTCTTCAAACATACATTGACTTAATGAAATTAATGAATCAAGTTACTTATATAAATAACTTTTTACAGAAATAAAATTATAATTCATTCCTAATGGAATATAAACCCCAAACTATAGTTATTCCTAAGAATTTCAAATAGGGGAATATAAATGAATACCAGAACATTTTATTTCATCAGGTATGATAAATAGGAGTGAGTCAATTCGTGACTGTTAAGGATCTCCTAAGTGATTACTACTTACTCGCTGAAGCTTCACATTGGAAATACTTGTTCAATGTTTAGTCTCTGTGTTTATTTAACCATAAGCTAAAATCGACTTAAATGAGTTTCCAACTAAGTGGATCTTATTAAAAAATTGCTCTACAGGGTGTGGTAGTACAGTACCAGTGACTTTTCAAGAGTTCACTGCTAACTTTCTATCTTGACATAATTAAGTGTTAATATTTTGGAGACACGTTAGAAAGGTCATGCAAGTGAGTAGTTTTGGGCTGCTTCCTCTAAGATCAAGGATAATGTTTTCATATGGATTTCATTGGTAACATCTTTACTTGCCAGTCTATTTCATCCACATTATACATATCACGTTTGATAACGGGCACATGACGGCAAAGGTGCCAATTTGTTATTATTTTTCATCCTGGAAACTATCAGATGGGGGAAAAATAAGCCTGGTATTTTTCTATTCAACATGTTTTGCTTTTTATTCCTTCAATCTGATTTCCTGAGCCATACGGTTCCAAATGAGCATTCTACTTTATTTTTTTTTTTAATTCCTGCTATTCTCCACCCCAAGGCTTGGAGAAGGGGTAGAAAGTTTAACTGGACAAACTAATGAGAAAATGAGTTCTCAGGTTCTAAATGGGGTTTTAAATTGCAAATAGAATAAGTAAAACATCATATTCATGAATTTAATTCCTCTATTAAAATATCTACATTCCCACTATATTCCTAAACATATTCTGAATAATTTTAGAAACATTAAAACTTTAGCTATTTGGGCTAGTTATTTATAAAGAAGATACTGTAGTATGCACAAGGTGTGTCTTTTTCCTTAAGCTAAAATCAACTTAAATGAGTTTCCAGCTAAGTGGATCTTATTAAAGTTGCAAAGTGTATATATTGAGGAATGAACAGATCTCAAAAGAATGCCATAAAAATAAGAAGTCACCTGCAGAAAAAAAGTGATTTTCATTCTAATCAATAAAGGCAAATAGACACATAATTTAATAAGTAATATGAGCGTTTAGGTTTCTAAAAGGTAGGTTTTTCCAAGATTGTAAAAATGAAATATCCACTTCCATCACTAGGTGGCAGAAAATCACACACTCCAGAAGGAACAATTTTTTCTTTCCATTTTCACACAGCCAAATGAAACAACTGAGCTACTTCAACACAATAATGCTTGTGATGACAATTACTACTTAAATCATGCATTAATTTGGAGAAATGGTGTGATTCCAACACAGAGCTAATTTGCTTCTGGTGTGAGGAGAAATCAAATGACAAAAAGAGAAGCCTTCCTATCAGATATATGATTTGATAACTCCAAATGTTATGCTGAGGTGAAATACACCCAGTAACCTGCACACCAAAGAGGCCCATAGGTTTTAAGCATCTGCTATGAACTTATTATTATCACCTAACATGGTCTTAAGCCAACTGCGCCAAAGGTAACACTTTTGTAAGTATATATGGCAATTGCTTGTGAGGTCAAAATTATGAAAGAGTTTATTTAGCTGAAAAGGGAGAGCAATTAGTTTACTGCCAGGATAAGTTTTGTATGCTACAAGCATTAATGATACAAGAATTTGTGGAAGACTACATGGTACAGGGCTAGATGCTCATTTAATCAGGGAAAAGCTTACTACTGTGCTGTACTCTCCTTCACTATGACATGCCATGTCAAACTGTAATGTTTTGCCAAACTGTAATATGCTCTCTGCGCTACTCATTAATATATAGTCTTCCACAAATGCCTGTATTATTAATGCTTGCAGCATACAAAGCTTATCCTGCCAGTAAACTAACTGCTCTCCCTTTTTAGCCAAAGAAACTCTTTGATGGTTTTGACCTCACAAGCAATTACCATGTACACTATAAAGATGTTTCCTTTGGTGCAATTGGTTTAAGACCATGTTAAGTGATAATAATAGCAAACAATTACATAGTGCTTACTGTGGGCCAGGTACTACTTTGAGT
Source organism: Homo sapiens (assembly GCF_000001405.40). Lineage (NCBI taxonomy): Eukaryota > Metazoa > Chordata > Mammalia > Primates > Hominidae > Homo > Homo sapiens. The sequence goes on along the minus strand of NC_000007.14, from coordinate 88,169,023 downwards.
GTTTGACATATATTAACTTATGGAACAAAGGCAAGTCCATTAAAAGGCATGGGGTAAATGTCTAAAATTTTGATTCTAATTCCCAAAACTTTGAGTTACCTAAGTTTGATCCATGAGGAAAAATGTGCTATGAAATGAGGTAATGCCCAGAATGCCTAGCACAAGCTGCAGGCCTTCCAAATGGAGAAAAACCCCAGGCCTGTGGACTGGAACATCATCATCAAGGATCAGCAGAATATGATTTTAAGTTGAAATATTAAAGAAAATTTAAGGTTTACTATATTTACATTTTAACTTATTAAACTTAAATTAGTTATTTGAATACAAAGAAATTTTTCACATCATAAGATTAAAGCACTTAAAAAGGAAATTGAATACTCTGGTTTCTTTTCAGATTATATAAATCATGAAAAGAAAATTGAACACATTAGATAGATAAATAAGTTTACAATGTTTGAAGGCCTTTACTGAGCAAAATGTTTAAGGTTATTAAATTCTCTTCAAAAGTTACAACTTACCAGTTTTTACAAATTTAGACTGGTTTCAATTCACTTCAAGGATTTTTAAATAATACTCAGTTCTTTTACAATAGAAGGAAGTTGTCTCAAAATCTAAAAAATGATGTTATTATCACTTCTCGCCATGCCAAGAATAAGCATTGACTGGCTGCTGAGCCAAGCTGATTTTCATTGCAAGTATATTCAACCAATGATACAAAACTTTCTAGATGTTTTCATGTAATCAAAATGTTTAGAAGTATATTTCAATAGTAACAAGACTGAGACATTTCACTTACTTATAACCCCACGCAGTTATTCCTAATATGAGGGCCAGCACTAAAATGGTGCCAGCAATTATGCCTATTATGATATTGGTGCCAGCAACACCTGAGAGGAAAAAAAAGAAAGAAGGAAGATCAGTGGTATAAAATCCTTTCAGAAACTTTATTGTTCAGTTTTGTAATCATCACACTAACAACACTGTTTGTTTTCAAAAATGAGTATTTTTCAAAGGAAAGAAAAAATCAACCATAATTCAGCAATCCATATCAGTTGTTTTAAAAATAATTTTTGGCAAATGTCCTTTTTAATTCTTGTCCAAGTGCATTTTGCACAGTTGTATTTTCCAGAAACCATGATGTCATTAAACTAAAAGAGGGAAGAGTAATGAAACTTAGGGAGGAACTTGTAGAAAATCTGTGTTCCTTTTGATCCTTACCTCTTTCTCAGAAATTCTAGAAATGTTATTGTGCATATCACTCCATTTTGACAACTAACGCAAGGTCCTTACTGCTCTCGGTTTTGTGTGTGTTATATTTTGTCTCTCTCAAAGTGAATACAAGCTTCTTAAGGGAGAAAACATGTCCACAGACTTCTGTGATTACTGCCCAGGTGATGTAGGTGATAGAAACACTGGGCTTGTAATTCCCCGTCTGGGCAATGATGGCTGTGGCATTCTAGAGAAGGAAACCCCAGAGGAAAAAGAGTTGAGTGAGCTGGAGGATTGGAGCTGATGTGGCAGGAGAGGCAGCACCACACTGGCAGAGAGACAGGCAGGCAGAATCCAGGGCGGGATTGAAGCTCAGAACACAGTGATGGCATTGTTGTGCCAGTATCCATTGTCAGGCAGGCTGAGATATAATCTTTAAGGGGATCATCACAGCAGAATGGCACCATGAGTCAAAGGCTTGGTCAATAAGCTCAAATGAGGGCTCAAAGGCAGAAAAGGCTGATCTGAATGAGGCCTGGCTCTGACACCAGAAGGCCTGTTTTGCTGATAATGATTTGTGCCACATGGTTAACTGCAGAGCTTTCATCCAGAGTAGCTTAGATCCATCTTTGCCTGCTCCACTCCTGAGGCATCCTTTTATACATCAGAGGTCAGGAGTCATGGGCTACTTGAGAAGATTTCAATTCTCCATGATAGTAGTGGCAGTCTCTCTGTCTGGGAGCCCTCAGAATTCATGTCAGACAGCAGGGCTAGGTCATCTGAGCAGACTAGTGGACTCCAACCTGCCAGGTCCTCTGTGGGATGCACAGATGCAAATGCCAGAGGATTCCTTGGGTCACTAGAATTTTCTTACTTCAAGACCTAGCATGTCTGCCCCCCCTTCCTTTTTTTCCAGGGACTTAACAGGGATCAATAAACTTAGATGTTAGTCTTGTTTATTTCTAAGTAATGGTATGGCTTTTGACACGTCATTTAAATCCATCTATCTAAATATTATTGTCTTTGAATTAATTACTGGAACAAGCTCCACACTACCACTGCTAAGACTAGGGACTCTAAAATCTTAATCATCCTATGATTTTCTTTATAAAAGTCATATTAGCTAAAACTGTTTACCCTTTCTGGACTATTAGAATGAACATATTCCTTTTTTCTCATCCTTTGAAAGTGACTGAACTTTAGGATTTGAGCATTATCTTGTATAAAAGAATACTCAATAATGAAATGATGAAATATTTTAAAGGGGGACATTTGCCTCCAATGTATAAGTTCTTTCAACTGTCTGCATTTGATTTCTATACCCCCATTTGGGCCACCCTAGCTTTTAGGACTGCACCTGTTATTTCTTATCCATGTTCTTAAAGCCCCACCAGGAACCTTGGCCAGGATTACTAACTGTAGCCAGTTCAGGCTACAGAACTGGGGTTGAACAACAATGAGATTCTATAATAAAGAATATTAAAATATTTTAAAACCAATTCTTTAATTGTTTCTTCTTTATTCAGTTCAAAAATATAAAATTATTCCTCTAAATGCACACAATTAAGAGTTATGACTACTTCCACATTTGAAAGAAATGTTAGGGTTAATTGACAGCCTCAGAAAAATCTCAGAATGAAGTAGGACAAGATAAGGCTAAATCAAATAGACTAAGTTATACGTAATATTACATATCATTACAATTTAATGGACATAATCAGTTTCATAAAATGGACCCCAGTTGTATAATTCATTATTATGAGAATGTATTTCTGATTATCATAAAAATAACTCAAATAAAAGTTTTCAGAGAGCAGCTTTCTCTTTGTGTATAAAGACTACATAATGTTACCAAATTAAGTACTTACCATTGCCAGACAGAGTGATACCAGTCTTTGCATCATCATTGTGAGGGAAGTAAGTGTTGCAATCAGAACCTATCCAGTGTCTGTTACACACACACTTCAGCTCATTACTGCAAACCTGAGATCCAAAATCAAGCTAGAGTAAATGTCAACTCTCTGGTACAGAAGCATGAAAAATAAACACTAATTTCTTATTATTATATGCTTAGAATGTGGTAATTCCAAAAAATTATTAGTATGTTCTTCTTAATACTAATTACATTATTTCTCCCTCCAGTACCTCAAGCAAATGTTTCCTAGAGACCAACAACTGACCCAAAGGGAACGATGAATTTTAACAGAGAAATTGATCTACATCTAAAAAAAAAATCAAAGAAATTATTGTTTTGACTTTCACTAACTTAAATTTTATAAGGAAGATTTAAAAAGCTAAGCAGAAATATAATCATCTGTCAATTATCTAATACAAAGGTTTCCTTCCTTCCATAGTAAGGGTCTTCATGCAAAAATGTTATTCATTTTTTAGGAAGCAAAATGAAATAAAAGTCTGATGAAGAGGGGAGACCTGATGTTTTGCAGTGGGCTGAGAAGAAAGTTCCACAAGGCTATACAACCTTAGCACTTCAACCCATGCTGTAGATACTAGCTATGTCAGGGTCAGGGGAACTAAGAACTCCCACGAATTGAGTATAGAAAAAAGATTCATATAAAATTGACACCATTTTTTTTTATATTATAGGAAAATAATCTCTCTTCATTAGTCCACTCAGGAAACAGAATATACACCTAAATCTAATTCAAAACAACCTTGAGTAGAGAAGCAGGAGAGAGTTAAGTTAGGTTGAAGATGAGCAAAGTTCCTCCTGAGACAGGTTTTTACTACAGGGGTTTCTGTCTTGTCTGATCTAATTTTCAGGAACATAACATACATCCACATCTAAATGTAACTATAACACAGCCTCAATCAGAGCTACAGATTAACAAATAGGCAGAACGAAAAAGGTTTAGGCTTAAAATCAAAAGGCCTGGATTTGATTCACCATATCACTCCTGTCTTACTAAGGGACCTTAATCAGGTCGCCTGGCTTCTTCAAGCATCAGTTGCTATATCATATGTCAGGTATCAGCGATATAGTGACAAGAACAGACAATGATGCCCAGTATACAGTAATCATAATAAATAGCATAGCTTACATTTATTGAACACTTGCCATATCCCAGTCTTGTTTTAAGTGTTTTACAAGTTAACTCCTTCTTCGCACAATTCTTTAAAGTGGGCACTATTATTATCTCCATTTTACAGAGGAAGAAATTGAGTCACAAAGGCGAAGAAATTTGCCCAATGTTACCCAGCTAATAAAAAGCAGAGTTGGGATTCAAACCCAGGCTATATGATTGCAAGCCCACACTCCTAACTACATGATATATAGTACAAAAATAATATTTACTTGTATTAATTTTTCTTATATTAATTTTTTGACACAAATATAGAGTTGCTGTAAGTTAAAATTACCCCAAATATAATTATGCATAATTATTGTGAATACATAATTATATTATGCATAATTATTGTAAATTATCTGGATGTTGATTTGCCATCTGATTTATTTGCATTGATTATTCTTTTACTAATTAATTAAACAAATGTTTACCAAGCACAACTATGTTTGGTCTCTTGTGTTTTGTTTCAGAATCTTAAGATGGATAAGACATGCTTATTCATTAGCATGGATGATCAAGAAAAATTCCATTATTCTTTTCCTCTTATCCCCTAACATCCTCTTAGATTAAGAAAAGAAGACTTGGAAGACTCCTTCATAGGAGCAGAGCTACTTAGTACATGTCTGCTCTACTCTTATATGCCATGAGAATTCCTATGCTTTGGCAAGAAGTAACAATTAGTTACTTCCCTAAATAAATTCTTGGAATATCCCTGAGGACAAGCATGGAAAGACCAGGAATGAAGGCTTACAATTCCAAAACAGGGATCCTTTATCTTAACTGGATAATACAACAGTTCAAGCAAAGAATCTGGAACAAAAATAAAAAGAATGCCATAGCACATGCTGAAAGAAATAGAACAAACTCTTTTTTGATGGTATAGGAATTCCTAATTGAAACTGACAAAACTTTATCCCTAGTAGAGGATGAATATTTAACCTGTAAACTTACCTGTACAGGATACACATTATCTGATATATAACTGAAAGAATATATAACTTAAAGAATAGAATTAAAAGTCTTTCAAATGCCGTTTTTTTCTACTCATCTGTAAGAAACATTTCCCTAAGTTATTGTTTTTATTTCTAGGACTTATCCTCAGCTTGTACACGCTGGTGTGGCTACAGCAGTGTGTACAATCTGACAAGTCTGTTGAGATTTGTCAGTGCCCAGACCACATCGTTTTTAAATACTGTGGCCATCACATCCAATTTTTATTCTCTTTCTTAAAATCCCATTATAGTTTGTTAAAATTTATCTCCTAGTTCACTTGTAAAAAGTTGGCATTATATTATATGAGATCATAGTAACACAGAAAAGAAGGATGGGAGAATTTGGTTAGAAAGATTATTCATTTCCTTATCCCCAGGCTTTCTCAGATTATACAACAGAAATATTCAAATAACTATAATTGAATTAGTATTTATATACCAACTAGAAATATGAAAAATCATTTTTTTCCATAATTAAGAAAAATAAATAGTTTAGGGTCCTGTCTATTTCTGTGATATAAAAGAAATAGATTCTGACAAGGTACTGGATACTTACTCCATTTCCTGAGCAAATAGTGCCTTCTTTACTGCTCAAGCAAGTACTAAAGTTGAAAGAAGCCACAGGAAGACACCTGTGTTCTAAGCACATCATTTGGGGACCACAAGGTGTCCCATCTTCCACATAGCCAAGATCTACATCTTCTTCAAGCTTAACATGCCCACCACTAAAAACAAATTGAGAGCAAAAAATGAATCTATTAATTCACCTTCATTTTGAAAATATGCTCAAAAACTTAAAAGCAGGCAATATTGCTTCCTCTATTCTATTTATTACTTATTAAAGACCAGTAGCATAAGCCAGTTCAATCTCAGAGAAAGCTATTGAATCTTTTGATCTAATTCCTTTTGGAGAAATTGATAAAGTTTAGGATTTGAATGTAATTACTATAACTGGGGCCTGAATTGAAACAGGTTTATCATTTCACCTGGGCTACCAAGCAAAAGGTAAGTAAGGCATTATTACTAGTATGTAATTTGATAAGTTGGCTGACCCAAAAAGATTGCATATGTACCAATTACATTTGAGAATGACTAAACTATTGTATATCACTATTCAATATAGCAAACCTGCATATATTATTTAGAAATGTTTTTTAAAACCTCGGTAAGCATTGAAAATATATATTCACAATTTATTCATATGGGGCCATGTCAATGCTACTATAAAAGTCACCATTTTTTAAACTTTTATTTTATGTTCAGGGGTACATGTGCAGGATTGTAATATAGGTAAACTCATGTCATGAGGGTTTGTCGTGCAGAATATTTCATCATCCAGCTACTAAGCCTAGTACTCAATAGTTATTTTTTCTCATCCACTCCCTCCTCCTCATCACATCCCTCAAATAGGTCCCAGTGTCTGTTGCTCCCTTCTTTGTGTCCATGTGTTCTCATCATTTAGCTCCCACTTATAAGTGAGAACATGTGGTATTTGGTTTTCTGTTCCTGTGTTAGTTTACTAAGGATGACGGCCTCCAGCTCCATCCATGTCCCTGTGAAGGACATGATCTTGTTCTTTTTTATGGCTGCATAGTATTCCATGGTGTGTGTGTGTGTGTGTGTGTGTGTGTGTGTGTGTATTACACATTTTCTTTATCCAGTCTGCCACTGATGGGCATTTAGGTTGATTCCATGTCTTTGAGACTGTGAACAGTGCTGCAATGAACATACGTGTGCCTGTGTCTTTATGGTAGAATGATTTATATTCCTTTGGGTTTATACCCAGTAATAGGATTGCTGGGTCGAATAGTATTTGTTTTTAGGTCTTTGAAGAATCGCCACACTGCCTTCCACAATGGTTAAACTAATTTACACTCCCACCAAAGGTGTGTAAATGTTCCCCTTTGTCTGCGACCTTGCCAGCATGTTATTTTTTGACGTTTTAATAATAATCATTCTGACTGGTGTGAGATGGTATCTTATGGTGGTTTTTATTTGAATTTCTCTAATGATCAGTGATATCGATCTTTTTTCACATGCTCTTTGACCAAATGGATGTCTTCTTTTGAAAAGTGTCTGTTCATGTCCTTTGCCCACTTTTTAATGGGGTTGTTTTTTCTTGTAAATTTAAGTTCCTCATAGATGCTGGATATTAGACCTTTGTCAAATGTATAGTTTACAAAAGAATTTTCCCATTCTGTAGGTTGTCTGTTTACTCTGTTGATAGTTACTTTTGCTGTGCAGAAGCACTTTAGTTTAATTAGATTCCATTTGTCAATTTTTGCTTGTTATGATTGCTTCTGGTGTCTTCATAATGAAATCTTTGACTATTCTTATGTCCAAAACAGTATTGCCTAAGTTGTCTTCCAGGGTTTTTATACTTTTGAGTTTTATATTTAAGTCTTCAATCTATCTTGAGTTTATTTTTGTATATGGTGTAAGAAAGGGGTCCAGTTTCAATCTTCTGCATATGGCTAGCCAGTTATCCCAGCACCATTTATTGAATAGGGAGTCCTTTCCCCATTACTTGTTTTTTTTTTTTTCCAAATATGTTGAATTTATTTGAGAATTAGAAATGAAGTGATTTTTTTTGGGTGGGGGGGTTGGTTTTTTATTATTATTATTCTTATACTTTAAGTTCTAGGGTACATGTGCACAACGTGCAGGTTTGTTACATATATATATGCACCATGCTGGTGTGCTGCACCCAGTAACTCGTCATTTACATTAGGTATATCTCCTAATGCTATCTCTCCCCCTTCCCCCTGCCCCATGACAGGCCCCGGTGTGTGATGCTCCCCTTCCTGTGTCCAAGTGTTCTCATTGTTCAATTCCCACCTATGAGTGAGAACACACGGTGTTTGGTTTTTGTCCTTGTGGTAGTTTGCTGAGAATGATGGTTTCCAGCTTCATCCATGTCCCTACAAAGGACATGAACTCATCATTTTTTATGGCTGCATAGTATTCCATGGTGTATATGTGCCACATTTTCTTAATCCAGTCTATCATTGATGGACATTTGGGTTGGTTCCAAGTCTTTGCTGTTGTGAATAGTGCCGCAATAAACATACGTGGGCATGTGTCTTTATAGCAGCATGATTTATAATCCTTTGGGTATATACCCAGTACCCCATTACTTGTTTTTGTCAGCTTCATCGAAGATCAGATGGTTGCAGGTGTGCGACTTTATTTCTGGGCTCTCTATTCTGTTCCATTGGTCTATGTATCTGTTTTTGTACCAGTACCATGCTGTTTTGGTTACTGTAGCCCTGTACTATAGTTTGAAGTTGAGCAACGTGATACCTCCAGCTTTTTAGTTCCCTGTGAATTTTAAGAGCTTTTTCTAGTTCTGTGAAGAATGTCATCGATAGTTTGATAGCAATAGCATTTAATCTGTAAATTGCTTTGGCAGTATGGCCATTTGAATAATATTTATTCTTCTGATTCACAACCACGGAATGTTTTTCCTTTTGTTTGTGGCATCTCTGATTTCTTTGAGCAGTGTTTTGTAATTCCCATTGCAGAGATTTTTTACCTCCCTGACTAGCTGTATTCCTGGGTACTTTATTATTTTTATGGCAATTGTGAATGGAATTGCATTCCTGATTTGACCCTCAGCTTGGCTATTGTTGGTGCATGAGAATGCTAGTGATTTTTGTATGCTGATTTTGTATCCTAAAACTTTGCTGAAGTTGTTTATCAGCTGAAAGAGCTTTTAGGTCGAGACTATGGGGTTTTCTAGATATAGAATCACGTCATCAGCAAAGAGCAATAGTTTGACTTCCTCTCTTCTTATTTGGATTTCCCTTATTTTTCACTCTTGCCTAATTGCTCTGGCCAGGACTTCCAATACTATGTTGAATAGGAGTGGTGAGAGAGGACATCTTTGTCCTGTGTAAGTTTTCAAGGAGAATGCTTCCAGCTTTTGCCTATTCAGTATGATGTTGGCTGTGGGTTTGTCATAGATGGCTCTTATTTTGAGGTATGTTCCTTTAATACGTAGTTTATTGAGAGTTTTTAACATGAAAGGATGTTGGATTTTATCAAAACCCTTTTTTGCATCTATTGAGATAATCATGTGGTTTTTGTCTTTAGTTCTGTTTATGTGAAAAATCACATTTACTAATTTGCGTATGTTGAACCAAACTTGGAACCCGGGAACAAAGCCTACCTGATTATGGTGGATATGATTTTTGATGTGCTACTCAATTTGGTTTGCAAGTATTTTGTTGAGGATTTCTGAATCAATGTTCATCAAGGATAATGGGCTGAAATTTTCTTTTTTTGTAGAGTCTCTGCCATGTTTTTGTATGAGGATGATACTGGCCTCATAGAATGAAATAGGGAGGAGTCACTCCTCCTCAATTTTTTTGAATAGTTTCAGTAGGAATGGTGCCAGCTCTTCTTCGTACATCTGGTAGAATTCAGCTGTGAGTCTGTCTGGTCCTGGCCTTTTTTTTGGTTGGTAGGCTATTTATTACTGGTTCAATTTTGGAGCTTGTTATTGGTCTGTTCAGGAAATCAATTTCTTCCTGATTCAGTCTTGGAAACGTATACACATGTCCAGGCATTTATCCATCTCTTCTAGATTTTCTAGTTTGTGTGCCACAGGTGTTCGTAGTAGTCTCTGATGATTGTTTGTATTTCTGTGGGGTGAGTCGTAACATCCCCTTTGTCGTTTCTGATGTATTAATTTGGATCTTCTCTCTTTTCTTCTTTATTAGTCTATCTAGTGACCTATCTTATTAATTTTTCCAAAAAATAAACTCCTAGATTTGTTGATATTTTACCTGGCTTTTCATGTCTCAGTCTCTTTCAGGTCAGCTCTGATTTTGGTTATTTCTTGTCTTCTGCTAGCTTTGGGGTTGGTTTGTTCTTGCTTCTCTAGTTCTTTTAGTTGTGATGTTAGATTGTTAATTTGAGAGCTTTCTAACTTTTTGATGAGGGCATTTAGGGCTATAAATTGCCCTCTTAACACTGCCTTAGCTGTGTCCCAGAGATTCTTGTATTTTGTATCTTTTTTCTCATTAGTTTCAAAGAACTTCTTGATTTCTGCCTTAATTTCATTATTTACCTAAAAGTCATTTCAGGACCAGGTTGCTTAATTTCCATATAATTGCATGGTTTTGAAAAAAAATTTAAGTCTCGATTTCTATTTGTATTGTGCTGTGGTCCAAGAGTGGGTTTGGTATGATTTTAGTGCTCTAGCTAGCATTTGCTGAGGATTGTTTTATGTCCAATTGTGTGGTCAATTTTAGAGTATGGGCCATGTGATGATTAGAAGAATATATACTGTGTTGTTTTTGGGTGGAGAGTTCTGTAGAGGTCTATCAGATCCATTTGGTCCAATATTGACTTCAGGTCCTGAATATCTTTGTTAATTTTCTGCCTTGATGATCTATCTAATACTATCAGTGAAGTGTTGAAGTCTCCTACTGTTATTGTGAGGGAGTTTAAGTCTCTTTGTAGGTCTCTAAGAACTTGCTTGATGAAGCTGGGTGCTCCTGTGTTGGGTGCATATATATTTAGGGTAGTTAGCTCTTCTTGTTGAATTGAACCCTCTACCATTACATAATGCCCTTCTTTGTCTTTCTGTATCTTTGTTGGCTTAAAGTCTGTTTTGTCTGAAATTAGGATTGCAACCCTGCTTTTTTTCTGATTTCCATTTGCTTGCTAGATTTTCCCACATCCTTTCATTTTGAGTCTATAGATGTCACTGCATATGAGATGGCTCTCTTGAAGACAGCACACCTTGGGGTCTTATTTTTCTCCAACTTGTCACTCTGGTGCCTTTTAAATGGGGTATTTAGGCCATTTACATTCAATCCCCATTCACTTCATTTATTTTTATCAAAATTACATATGCATATAGTTTAAAGAATCAACAGATAAATTGTTTTTAAACACAATAAAGCAGTTCTCTGCCTCTCTAGATATTCTTCCAGATACTCATCCTAGAAGAAAACCATTTTCTACTCTTAATTCATTCTTTTGTTATTTATGAAGGTCTCCTGGAGTTTCTGGCCTGCTGTTGTCTGTGCTGACTGTCCACATGTGCCGGTTTCGTAGCGCTGTAAATCTTGACTTTCGCCTCACTATCACTTGGGGATTGCCCGGTCTCTCTTTGTGGTATGTTGTTTCCTATATTCCCTGTCTTTCTCTTTCTTGGTTTACTTTGTTTTGGTGGAGTGCAATTTCTAGTACTTTCCTGAGAAATTTGTAGCATAACTAAACATGTCTTTATTTTCTACCCTCACACTTGTTTGATATTTTGCCAGAGTACAAAATTCTAGTTTGGAAATAATTTTCTCTATTGTCTTCTGACTCCCAGGGCTCCTGTTGCCAAATCCTAAACCATTTTAATTCTTAAGTCTTTGATTTTTTTCTCCTCTCTGGAAACTTCCAGAATTCTTTGCTTTGTTCTAAGGTTCTAAAATTTCATAATGATATGTTTAGATGTACCTCTAATTCCACTCATTGTATTCAGCACTTGGTGAGCCTGTTAATATGGAAACTCAAGTCCTTTATTTCTAGACAATTCTCTTGAGTTACTCATTGAAAATTTCCTCCCTGCTGTTTCCTCTGTTGTTATTGCTATCCTAATGTGTAAGATTTTCTCTATGTTCCATTTCTTTGCCTTTTTACCCTACTTTCTGGAAGATAATTTCAACTACTAAATTTTTTCTTTCTGAATGTTCCCTGTTTAAAAAAACAGCACCCTATTTTCTTGTTTCATTATAGAAGTCTCTTATCTCTCATAAATATTGATAAGTGGTTTTGTTTTTTTCCCCTTCATTGTCTCATTGTTTTTGTCTTTTTTTTTTCATGTTACAGACTTTTTTTCACATCTCTGATAATCTGCTCATATTTGAATTAGGAGACCAAATAGATGACTGGAAATCGGTACCACTGAGGTTGGACTACTTCCCTACAACCCTTATATAAATATTGCTTGCTGTCCTCCAGCTTAGAAACCTCCTCGTTTATTCTCTATAGAGTATAAAGCTCCAATCTTCCATGGGAGGGTGGCAAATCCCGTTTAGCTGAGTTGGGGAAGTAATCTGAGTATCTAACTGCTTTTTTAACAGCCTTTCATCTATTTTCTGTATTTCAGCCCCTTCCCTCCACTCCTTCCCTCCCTCTTCCTAAAGTAGATGATGCTGCCAATTTCTGAGCCTGTGGGGAAGTAAGAGTATATCTTGGATTGATTCTCAGTTTTCCTCATTACTGACTTAGGAATTCAGCTTTCTCAGCTTTGATAAGTCATGTGCCACACATCCATTTGCTTTATACATAACAAAATATTGTTGCTATTATCTCTTCTCTCTTTCTATGCCTCCCTGTGGATATATGAACTCTAAAAAAAGATCCATTTGGTATCATTTTAGTGAGATTTCATAAGGGAGCAAAAGTAGATGCATATATTTAATACACTGATTTACCTAGAAGTCCTCATTCATTTTCCAAATTCTGTAAGTTTGGAAACCAAACTCTATAAGACTTTACTGACCAATCTAAACCTAACTCTAGTAATCACACAATATTCTTCATTCAACTATTTTTTATCTTCTTTTTATCTCTTCTCTGTTAGGATTTACTCAATCGTCTCTATAGACTAGATTATATTTCGACCTACTAACATGTACATTAATTGAAAACGGAAGGAATCCTAAACTGCATTCCTGAGAAATAAGATGACTCAGATTCTTACAGAATGGTTAGATAATTACCTGCAGTTTAATGTTCTTCCTTGCTGCACAACTAAAGTAGATGTGATTTCACCATCGAGTTCTCCAAGCCTTGGGATATTGCCAATATTGGTACACAAAAGGTAACCACAAAGCACATCCCTGTATCAAAAGATTACCAATTACTTCTTTTCCCAAATATATAGCAAACCATGTACAGTTAGAATAATCTTCTCTCATTTTAGCATTTGGTTTTCATCAAGTATATTATCTACTCATATGCCAAGTGAAATAAAATAAGTCCAAATTAGTGTGCCACCTGCTCTAAAAAGTGTCTTCACTGAAACTCTTACTGATGTACCAAAATCTCAATTGTTTTCTAGCTTTTTCTTTACTGTCCATTAGTTCAAGTATTTAAAGAATCCATCAAATTGGCTTCTTTTATATTGAAATCTCTTTTCCCATAACACAATACTGGATATACTAATCTATTTCTTCTTCTTCTTCTTTTTTTTTTTTTTTTCTTAGAGTCAGGGTCTTACTCTGTTGTCCAAGTTGGAGTGTAGTGGTGTAATCATGGCTCACTGCAGCCTCAAACTCCTGATTCCAGTGGTCCTCCTGCCTCAGCCTCCCAGGTAGCTGGGACTACAGGTGTATGCTACCAGACCCAACTAACTTTTAAATTTTTCACAGAGACAGGGTCTCACTATGTTGCCCAGGCTGGCCTTGAATTCCTGACCCCAAGCAACCTCCCTCCTCACCCTCCCAAAGCACTGGGATTATAAGCATGAGATGCTGTGCCCAGACAATTTTTTTTTTAATTGGTAATTGAATGATATTTGGATGAGCATTCTTTTGGAATACAGATGTTTTTTTCAACCTGTTGCCCTAGAATTAAAGAAGAAATTATAGGCTGCATTTATTTTACAGACTGCCAACTACAAAGGCTCATTATCCTTTCTTCAATATATTTCAGTACTTCCCCAACTATTACATATGATTCTAACTTAACTTATAAAATATCTTTACTGTTGTTAATACTATCTTACATATTATTTATATCCAACACATTTTAATTATTAGTAGAGATAACAATAAACATATTTTTAAAATATCTTGTGAAGAGTAATTAGTAAGTCAGCAAGATTATATACAAAAGTATCAGACTTTACCACATGGAGAAAAAAGAAAAATTAGAACCTGTATTTTTCACCAACATAGAAAAGAATGTATTACTTTATTCTTTAAAAATGCTTTTTAAAATTATGTTATCATTTTACTGTATCTATCATAAACAAAAATGCTTTCTCAACAGAGAAGAGATATTCATTCAAAACTTTTTTGAATGTCATTTATGTATATGAACCTATGTAATCAGGATATATAAAGACAATTAGATATGATCTTTATTCACAAGAAAATTATACTCTAAATAAGAAGATAAATCACACACATAAACAACTTATAAAACAAAATTACGGACAAATAAGTACAAAGGGCTGTGGAAGTTCAAAGAAGAGAGAGATAATTTATTTCTAGAGTAAATCATAAAGAAATTTATATATAGAAAGTGTTTCCCAAGCTGGGCTTTGAAGAATAGGTATATTTTTGGCTGATGATGGTATGAGTTAAAGGGTGCTTCTGGAGGATTATAGAGCATAAATGTAGGCATGGAGGTAGGGACATATTCGGAATGGTAAGGTTTGCTAGATTTGGAAGAATATAAATGAAATGACAAAAAGTGTAGGTTGGGGACAATTGTTGAATAGGTGCAGTGCCAAGCTAAGGTTCCATTTAATTTGTTAACAAGACTATGACATTCAGCAAAATGGTGAAGAGAGAGTTCTGAAATCATACTCTCCAAATTCTAATTCTGCTTATTATTACATCCCATATACATGACTTCGGACAAATTAACTGTGTCTCAGTTTCCTCCTCCATAAAATGGGAGGACTGCCATGAAGATTAAATGGCATAGCTTATGTAAAGTGTGATACAGTGCTTAGCACACAGTGTTCACTCAATCAGTGCTGGGTACTGTTCTCACTATTAATTAGTCATGTGGAACCAGTGAACTTTCAACAAAGAATTGACAGTAAAAAAGACCCAAAAGATTATTCTGATAGTAGTACACTAGGGAATGCTGGCACAGAAAACTGTTAAAAGAATTTTGTAATAGTTGAAGGATTAATATAGGTCTTAGTTCAGGTAATGGTAATAGGAACGTAAGTGAATACATGAATTAAAGACAAATGGTGGCAAAGCAAAGGGAAGAATGGATGTAATTTAGCATTTGGACAATGTGTAGAGGGAAGGATCACTTTAAGGCTTCTAGACAGAAGGACAGTGAAATATTGAGACCTTTGGCAAAAAGGGGGTGGTTTGGGAAAGTTAGAGCCAGTTAATTCAATTCAACAGCACTCAGTGCATATTCTGGTGGCTTTAAGTTCTTTTGCCTTTGAGATGCTAAAAGGTGTCTTCTAGGTAAGAAAATCCTGAGGTGGGGGCAAGTATGACCTGGGCCTTAGGAGAGAGGTGAGCACACATGTTCAAGATTTGGAAGCCCTCTGCACAGGTGATGCTGGAACACTGGGAAGAGATGAGGTTAAGGAGGCAAGAGCACACTTTGTGTGATGCAGAAAGCAGAAACTTCCTAGTCACTCAAAAAAGTACACTTGTAATTGACCAAGGGATGAATTCTGGGCTGACGTCTCCACCTCACCGTTTGTTGCACTGTATCCATGTGTCTTTGTCTTTCCCACAGTTACCCTTCTCCGTCCCTTCAATATTCAGTTTCTCATAGCAATATTTGTCTGATGCTGTCACCTCTAAGGCAGAAAAAAATTTTCTATCAGTGAGGGAAGTACGATTTGGCTGCTCAAAAGCTTTGCAGAAAAGAAAAATTGTAATATAAGGACTCTTCATCACTACAGTGTTATCAATTCCAAAAATGTTACCAACGAACGGTTCACAGTTTTACCATGGATCATATATATCCATGACTCAGATAGGTTTTCATTAAAGCTCATTTGAAATTTAGTAAACAAATGTATTTAGTTCTCTGTTGGGACTCAGGCTGTAGGCTACAAAAACAAACACTCCTTAGAATTTGGCCAATAATTCGGGCAGATCATGAAGTCAGGAGATCGAGACCACCCTGGCCAACATGGTGAAACCCCGTCTCTACTAAAATACAAAAAAAATTAGCTGGGTGTGGTGGTGTGCACCTGTAGTCCCAGCTACTTGGGAGGCTGAGGCAGGGAAATCGCTTGAACCCGGGAGGCAGAGGGTGCAGTGAGCTGAGATCACATCACTGCACTCCAGCCTGGCAACAAAGCAAGACTCCATCTCAACAACAACAACAACAACAACAAAAGAATTTGGCCAATAATTAGGGAAGGCAATAACAAATATTTCCTTGAATATATACTCTATTCTTTAATCTCAGTGCTAAATATAATACATGAATTTCTCATTCAGCATATTTTGTTAATCATAAAGACAAGTTTATTATAATAGTTATATCCTGTAATTAGATTCAAGAAACAGTGGTACAATTTCTACCTTGCTCCCCACTTCTTAGCAGCTATCAAAAGCAATTTTACTTTGCTTTAAGACAAGCTTGAATTCATGCTAAATCTCTGGAAGTCAAATAACATTTTAAGGTATATCAGTATCTTTTTCAGGCTTTTATCTTTTCTAAAACCAGGGACAGTTGATAGAGTTATCTAAGAATTAGGACAAAATGCAAACTAATCAAAGGATAATTGTTGGTATATTTTTAAAAAAAACAATAGTTATGTCGGTAGTTATGTTTCCTACTTCTTGTTGTCAGCTACTATTTTTGCTCAAGTGGATAAAACAAAAATGATATCTTTTTTCGGAGTACAAACCTGCCTGACTAAATGTTTTCCCATCCCAATGTTTCCAATTGCTTAAAGAGAGCATACACTTCCCCTCCTAAAAGGATTGTGGCACCTACTTATAACTATTAAGAATTATCATTATTTTTATAGCCTTTTTCCTACTACAAATTGTCTCCTGAAACAGTTTAAAACAAAAACTGCTTCCAAAAGTTTGGGCTAGTAGTACTTCTAGGAAACAATACATTACTCAACATTTAAATAAACATTTAAATAGAGTATAATTTAAATCTAAATATCATATATTTTCCTTTGAAAATCTGACAGACTTTAAAGGCTAAACATTAACATTTCTTTCTGATACAGCAAAGCCACTTTAGCAGAAGTGCGTAACTAGGAAAGCCAACTAGAGTTTAAGAAAAATATCCAAGGAGGAAAAAAATGACTCTAGATAAAATGCTGCTGTTCTAAGTTAAGGACGTCCTGTCCAGGGTCCACGTCCATCCCATATGGTTGTGAAGCTTTAGCTTCAGGGCACTCAGCTGAGAAGAGTATACATGGAGCTGAAATCCAGGTTTGCTCTATTCTCCAAGCTGTGCACCCTGGCATGGGCTCCATCTGCCTGGCAGCAAAGGCACTTTCTGTCTCGTCCACAGGCACTGCCAACTAGCCAAGATGTGTGGGGCTGCTTCTCAAAGGGGTGCCTTACTCTAATTTCCAGAAACATGCCCCTGCTAAGACCTGTGGTAGCTTTGAGAATCCCCCAGTCATAAAGTAGTCAAAAATTTACTTCCAGCACACACGTCCTTGAGAAGTCCGCCTGACATCATGCTTTAACAATGATCAAGCCACACTATTTACTTACTTTGCCCCCAAATGTATTTGCATTGTCTATCTCTGGTTTTGCATCTTCCTCCAAAGCAAATTCCCTAAAACGGAAAAGCAAATACCCATTAGCGATGCAATATCTGCTTATGTCAGATAACTGAAAAAGAAACTATGATTGGGAAAAATAATAGATGAATAGTAGAGAGGCCTTTTATCTTCAGAATTGATTACAAACATTTAAATTGATCTTCCTATTTTGATAAGATTTCAGTATTCCTTTCATGCTGGTACATGTGAAAAACATAGGTAAAAATGAAGTGACCTACCTGAACACCATCACATGAATATCCATCCATTTTATGAATATTAGGGGCACACTAGGAAAAAGAGAACAACTATGAATGAAATGCAGTGCAAAATATAAGGCTGAGCTAAACCCTTTAATGTTTTCACTTTTAAAAACATATTTGTTAATATGGCTAGTCCCTTATACCATCTATAAAACAAAATGCAAAGGAGGTCAAGAGCAAGTGGATGTCCTTGAAGTCTGGGTATTTGGTAAAAAATAAATTAAAAAAATAAAAGAGAAAGCAAGAGGAAAAACAATGGGTACACTTGCCCCTGAAAATATGAATCTACCAGAGGCAAAAACAGTTGATTACATAGCAGCAAATAAAAAGAACTGACTACCATAGACTCAATTAATGATACATTTAAAAGTATCTTGATTCATACAGATATACTATTTTTCAGAGCAAGAAAGAGAAGGGGACAATAAACAAAGAGTAAGTCTGCATAAATGGAGCAATAACTAGTTTCCTTTCTTTTGCCATGAGAAGAAACATAGCCCTTATACTAAAAATAATGACTTTCAAGCCAAAGTCCACTTTAAGAATGTCAGAAAAGGGCACACTTTATAATCCTTTTTTCCTTGCAGCAATTATGAAAAATTATAAGGCAATATTGAATGAGTATAAACAGACAGCAAAGCATGCAATTATGTTGCCTCTTTGTCTTCTGATGATATCATGTGCCATTTTGCAAAAACGGAATACCAAGAGAGGAAACTGGCCAACAGAGATGAAAGTGCAGCAAAGAAAAGTGATGACACCAGAAGTGAAATGCAAATTGAACTTGTAAATGGAGTTACAGAAAAAAATTGCTGACTGTGGGAATGTCAATATTGCTGTTCAAGAGCCTCTAGACATGCAACCAGAGGAACTTGCTGAAGGAGGACTTAATGACATCGGTGAATAAGGTGATTGTGACATATAGGTGACGATGTCCCAGAGGGGGTAACGCCAGCAAGAAACTTCACATTCACATCTTCACATCTCTCAGGGATATCTCATGACATTGAAAGCACAAAGAATAAAATGTTGTAAAATGTTGAAAGCTGATCCAAACTTAGAAAAGGGTGTGACAGTTCAACAAGGCATAGAAAATATGCTCACTCTATATCATAAAGCTTATAAGAAGGCAAGCTCTATTCAAACTACTCCTAAGGTTTTTACAAAGAAATAAAATCCTTTAATTCTCAATGTTTCTCTTTTAATGTACAGTATGCTAAATAAATACTATTCTTTCACCTTCCTATCCATTTAAAACCAACAGTAAGAGAGTTTTTAATAATCTGACAGCATTTTTTGAGGACTGCAAAACAAGTGCAGTATTTTCCTTTGATTATTAAAATGACTTTGCATAGTCTCAGCTTGCATGGTCATTTTTATGGTTTGGCACTACCCTTCAAAGTGAGGACCGTCTGTATGTACAGTGACCATTTTGAAATCTGTGAACTCCCACCAAAGTTTATTCAATTTCTCTAGCTTGTCTATCTATAACTAAGTGCTATAAAATTCAAGAGCAGCTATTGATGGCTGAGGCGATGCAAGCTATCATAGATAAGAGTCAAGAGAAAGAAAAGGGTCCTCTCTAAGAATCCAGTGTGTTTGTGAGTCCCTGCCTCCACTGACTTCTTGTTCAATCAGCTGAAGAGAGTTTATTTGTTTCTTCCTTTACTAAGTAGATGAAAAGAAAATGCCTTGTACTACCTACTTAATACAAAAACAAAATAGTTAAGGCATGCACGCAGTCTGAGGTTAGTTCAACGTTAAGACAAAATTATGTTCAAAATCTGCTCAAGCTTCAATCACTGAAACTTAAATTCCTAAAAAAAATGGAGAAATGATGTGAAAGAGACACGAGCATCTTGTTCATTTACATTTCTCTTTGAGGGTCAGTGCACTAAAGATACCCCCACTTTTTCCCATAAGTTTTAGAGCAGTTATTTTGTAAATTACCTGGCTTGAATTTCCTGAGCACGTTTCACGAATATCACAATCATTTACTGCTTCTCGGCACACAGTGCCCATAGGCTGAAACTAAAATGAACAAAAATCAACGTGTGAAACTGTAGGGAGAAAAAAAAATCTTACAATATCATCTAAAAAAAACAAAATGAAAATTGTTTGGCTAGAAATACCTTAAACTACTGTAAGATGGTAATCTGTCAAAACCACAGTTACTGAAAAAAATTTTATTTTAATAGTTTTAAGAAACAGTTTCTTGTGTATGATGTAATTTCCATAGTCATTACACATAAGCCTTATATTATACTGCTAAATTCCACAAGACAGGCCAGTTAGTCCAGGTTCTAGTAATTTTTCTGTACTAATAGCTTTTGAATTTACCCTTTACTCTTCATTCTCACCGACACTTTTATCACATTATCCTTTTCTGCCTTATCTACCAAGAATCAAAAAATTACATTTTGGGTTGAACCACAAAAATTAGATTTTCTGACAAAGCTATTTCCTCCCATGTTTCTTCTACCCTTCTTCTCCCCTGCCTCATTTTTACATGGATTTAGATCTTGGTCTTTTATTATTTTCTAGTGTTTCTATTATTTAAGTCTTCATATAGGCATTTTTGTTTTTCTGTTTTCCATCATCTCAAATACTTCTTGCAAGTGTGAGAGTTATACAAATAAATGTTTAACTTCATTAGGTTAAAAATGTGAATTGCAGGAGTACTCATTAAAATGAAACAGACCTGAGATATATAGTTAAAGTACTTCCCCTTCCCTTCTCAATCCTTCTCTTTTTCTCTATCCAAAATGTTAGCATTCAGGGCTGTATCCTTACATGCTTTGTGTCTGCTCACACAAAGGCACATGTTATTCTGCTTCCCTCACTTTCTAGATAAGCTTTATCTTCTCTAGCTGCTCAGAACTCTACAGGCATTTGAGTCTCCTGCTGTTCCTAGAACATGCACTGCCCACTATAAACTCCAATCTGGATTTCAACAAGTATTTTTTTTTAGAAGACCCAAACAAAATATGTATTCATTCATCCATTCATCAAATATTTAATAACGTGCCAAGCACTGTTCTAACTACTGGGAACTCAATGGAGAACAAAACACAAGAACCCTGCTCATCAGGAACTTGCATCTTAATGTGGGTTAAAAATAAGGAAATAAGAAAATTTAATTTCACGTTTCTCTTCTTCCTTGGGACTAAGACAAGCCAACATTTTAGAATATCTAGGGTAGAAATATGAGCAAATTTGGGGTAGTTTAGAGGAGTGCATAATGTTCAAGAAGTTCCAGGAAACTTCTAAAAGAAAGAATAGGGAGGGAGGATTTGCACTAAGTGCTAGGATACAGCAGTATATAAATCAACCAAAATCCTTGCCAATAAATACCCTTGTATTATAATGGGAGAAGAAAAGTAATAAACAAGTAAACAAGCACTCTTTAACAGCAGTGGTCTGCAAACTGTGGCCCATGGGTCAAACTTCACTGATTGCCTATCTTTATAAATAAAGTTTTATTGGAACACAGCTATGCCCATTTGTTTCTGTATTTTCAAAGGCTGCTTTCAAAGGCAGAGCTGAGCTGCAACAGAAACTTTATGATCACAAAGCCTAAACTATTTACTATCTGGCTCTTTATAGAAAAAGCATGCCAATGCTGGCTTATAGATACACTATTATAAATACAGGTAGAAAAAAATAGAGATACACACAGTTTCTTATCTTTTTCTTCTATTCTCCCTCCTCCATTCACTGTCCTGCCTCTGGCTGCCCTAGGAGTCTAGGGTGGCAGGTGAGAGTTAGGGAGGATGGTAAAGAAAGTGGCAAAAAAGATCTCACTTGACTCTTGACTGGTACAGCTATAACTTACTTTGAGGGATGGCAGTCATGCCATTTTATTTTATGTATTTTAATAGTATTATTTTCTACTTGTTCCTTGAAATAATTATATCACAGGGAGCCTAGTTGTATAAATCAAAGGGAAAACAGTGTAATTAAATGCATTTTGTAGATGGGCAGACTTAAAACATTGAGGATTAAGATAAATAATTCAGGATGTCTTGTTACGGCAGTGGAAAAAGCTGACAGAATAAACAGGGGTGGTAGCCAAAATCAAAGAATGTCTTTCACATTTGGTTTAATCTTCTTTTTAACAGAGTGCTTTCAGAGATCTCTGCCAGTGCCTGCTCGTCTTAAAAAGCTGCCAGGAGACACAGTGGTAGAGTGGAAACAACAGAAACTGCTGCCAGCAGATCTGGGGCATAACTGTACATCTATTCCTTACTGGCTAAGTGAGCCTGTATAGAGGTTATTTAACTTCCTTGAGACTGAGTTTGCTTAACTGTAAAAATCAAGATAATAATGCCCATCCCAAAAGTGTGCTTGTGAGCATTATCTCAGAGAGTGGTCTCCACCAGGGGTGATTTTACCCACAAGGGAACATTTGGCAGTGTCTGGGGACATTTTTGGCTGTCCCATCTAGGAGGGGTGCTGCTGGCACCTAATGGGTGGAATGCAGAGATACTGCTAAATATTCTACAATGCACAAGACATACCCTTACAACAAAGGATTATCCAGCCAAAAATGTCAATAGTGCCAGAGTTGAGAAATTCAGATATAAGATGATACAAAAGTCCTTAGCATAATCTCTGGCACACAGTAGATACTTACTATGATAGTTTCATATCCCATCCTCCTTTAACTCTTTAAAGTTACTCAATCAGCAAATTATCACTAAGAGAGTGCATATTTATTCATTCACTCAACAAATATTTACTGAGAATGTATACCAATTACTGTCTAAGTGCCTGGCTCTGCTCCATGAAATGTACAGAGTAAAGTGAGAGACAGATAGAAATAACGTAGACTATTACACCAGATTTTGTATGAGAAAACAAGAATTAGATTTCTTTAGGGGAAGTAAGCCTCAAATGTTAGTATTGATGTAAAGGCTTAAATATTTGGAGATAGGTATGAGGATGCTGCTGGGAGGATGAAAACATAAAGTGTGTAAAGATGCATTCTAAACTTGCAGGACCAATAATATATGCATGGTATTATCATG
This sequence comes from Homo sapiens, assembly GCF_000001405.40. NCBI lineage: Eukaryota > Metazoa > Chordata > Mammalia > Primates > Hominidae > Homo > Homo sapiens. Next base: position 88,145,977 of record NC_000007.14, on the reverse strand, counting down.
TCTCAAAGTACTCCCTTGTTTCCTCAGCAGCTAATGCAAGAGATACACCAAGCTGAGCAACAAGAAAAGATCTACTGAAAGTCTCCTTGGCTTTACCAAGAAAGGTAAACATCATTTAAACATTAGTAACACCTGGTTTCATTTAATGTGCATGCTCCACAGAAAGTATGGAAAGGACAGCCTCTGAAGATTAACAGGGTTCAGGCCCTAGTTCCCCAACTTACTTGGTGTAAGACCTTGGGCAAACTACTTAACCACTACAAGCCTTAGTATTCTCATCTTTTAGATGGGAATAATAATAAGCAACTACACCACACAAGATTTTGTGAAGATCCTATAAAGCACCTGGCACTTACTCATTTAATATATGTTAGATACTATTTCTGTTATTAGATTATATTTACCCAGCCTTAATGATTTAATCAAGTATGTCCTTTTTTTCTGTCAAATGGTCATTAATGTTTATTTACCTTGCACTTTTTACAGCAAAGACCGTCACTGCATTGAGAGTCTTGAGTCAAGGTGCATTTCTTACAACACTCTGCTCCTTCAAGGACACATTCCTAAGGAATATAAACATTTTCAAAACATCAGAAAACGGTGTCACTTTCCTGAAAGTAACAGGATATTTTCTAAAATAAATGTACAAACTCACAATAATTTTTCTTCCACAAATCCTATAAAATTCCAGGCATGACATTTGCTCCATACATCTCAGTGTGTGGACCTGGAATGACCCTGAATTACCTAGAAAATATCATCAAAACAACCAGAGACTTACGGCCGGGGTTCCACAATCACACTCCTCTCCAGTTTCAATGAAGCCATTGCCACACTCAGGAGGATCAAGAAGCTGTGAGGAAAACCAAAAAGTGAACTAAAATATAGAAAAATCAACATCAAAGACTTTGAGAGACCATAAGTGCCATACCCAAATATACCTGCCCTGCCAGTCATTCTAAAATATAGTTTTATTTTCCTAAACTAGAAAGCATGAGCTCAGAACTTGGAACTTTAAAACAGAAGTGTCTACTTCTGTTTCCTTTTCATATTTAATATACATAGTAAATAGTTTACCTATATATTTATATATATAACATACACACCACATAGGGTCTGGTAAATGTCATCAAAATTAAAGATGATCTAACCATTCACTAAAATCAAGCCAGAGTCTCTCCTGAAAATTCATTTCAAACTGGAAGCAGGGGAATTTGGAGTCAGATGTCTAGATTAAAATCTTGGCTCAAGTACTTACGTTGGGTAAACTATTTAATATCTCAGAGAACTTAATATCTAAAACAGGAATAATAATAATAATAATAGTTGTCCATCCACATCAGAAAATTGTTCAGGATTAAGTTTAGTCATCTGTGAAAAAACCCTTTATTACTATATCTCCTTCTGATACAGGAAACTATTTCATAGACAATGAGAAAAGCATCAAAAAATTAGTATATCCATTGATCGACTTAATAAAAAATACAGCTCCTCCTATTAAGATAGTTTTGCAGCGAACTAAAATTAAATTTTCCCCAGAGATTGAAGCAAATTTTGGCCTGTCCAAGAGTATGTTTTAGGTCTGTTTTATTGTTTAGCTCTTCATCAACTTTGTTCTCTTTTGAATATAATGTATCCTATGGTGACAGGCAAAATTAGTAAATAATTGTTATATGCCAGATACCTAATATTCATTCAAAAGCTAATCAAAGTTTACGTATTATAGAATGAAAATGTACACACACCAGTAAACAGATGGATACACACGTGCACACATACACTTTCATAACTAATTAGAGGAAAAAAACAACAAAATAAAGAATATATACAACAACAACAAAACCCACTTGATTTTAAATATTCTCTCTTCTACAAATGAGTCAACTTTTGTCTATATTTCATTTTTGGTCGAAACTGATCATAACAAATAAAAAACAGCAAAAATGGAAACTTATCCAAATGATAACCACACTTATTCTCTTACTCTGGGTTTATAATAATCAATTATTTTGGTAAAAAGACTTGAACTGTTTAGTATTTATGGCAGCAGTGATACAGTTCAAATGTTCTTTCCAATCTTTCGAAGAGTCTTAAAATTGTCAATTTGCTTCGCAATTCAGTATGATACATTTTCTAAATTACACTGTAGTGAACAGAAAATTAAACCAGGTAAATTAAATGATTACAAAGGCAATGGTGCATATCCCTGTGGTGCACAGAAGCATTTCACAGTTCACATAATTCGCAAGGACAAAGCATTCTTTTTTAACATGCAAAGTCTTCAAAATGCAGGAGGAAGACCTTCTTTCTAGTCAGTAACCAGAGGATGTGCTGCAAGTTGTAAAAGCCTGTGACAAAGTCCAAGACTTTCTCCATTTCTGCTTTAAGAAGACTTGTTTTTCATACTGAGAAATACTTGTAATTTTAACATACTGCTCATTCAGAAAGGCAGTGATAGGGAGTGATGAGGGTAGATAAGCCCCCACCTTCTACCTGTATGAGTTGTGATTAGGTAACCAAAAAAAATAAACATCAAGAAAATAAAAAAGAAAAGTAATAAAACCATTTTTGTAAACTAACTCTGAATCATCACTTGGCTATATAAAAAGAAAGTGGAAATTTTTCAGACAGCAAACACTTATTTCTACCTGCTTTCTATTCCCATCAGAATAGCCCAAAATGCCCAACATTAAAGCTGACTTTGAATATGCAGATATATAGCATATCTAGAATATGTACATACAGGGCAAGTTGAAAAGCTCTCTAAGATTCAATAGCTGAAAATGTGTATTTGTAATATTTTAGAAAGGTTGATAATTAATATTATAAACCTTATTAACCACACTTATTACCTTAGAAGGTTTGTTGAAAAGGCAGGCACCACCTCCACTATTCAGGAAGTCATGATACTCTTCAATATTACACTGGGTGAACTTTTTAGGAAGATAATAGCTATAAAAGAGAAGAAAAGCAATAGCTGGGTTCAACTCATCTTTCTCATTTGTGAATGTCTGAAAACTGAAGACTTAAAATTGTATATTACTCTTTAAAATGAGGGAATAAAGTCTACTTATGTATGACATTTATATTCAATCTATAAGAGTTTTGTTCAGTCAATATTATTTCTTTTTTTTTTTTTTGAGACGGAGTCTAGCTCTGTCGCCCAGGCTGGAGTGCAGTGGCACGATCTTGGCTCACTGCAAGCTCCACCTCCCGGGTTCACGCCATTCTCCTGCCTCAGCCTCCCGAGTAGCTGGGACTACAGGCGCCCGCCACCATGCCCAGCTAATTTTTTGTATTTTTAGTAGAGACGGGGTTTCATCGTGTTAGCCAGGATGGTCTCGATCTCCTGACTTTGTGATCCGCCCGCCTCGGCCTCCCAAAGTGCTGGGATTACAGGTGTGAGCCACCACGCCCGGCCAATCAATATTATTTTTAAATTCCTCATTTGGTGACTAATAGTTACTGTGGGTTTTTCATTATTTGCATGTGCATTCAAGTTAAATCAAGGAGAGTTGGGAAAAATTTATTTTATAATGAGTCTTCCCTAAATATTAAAACTGAGCTAGAATCCAAACTGCAGAGCATTCCACAAAATAACTGACCTATAATATAAATATGTCAGGTCTTAAAAGTCAAAGAAAGAGGAGCTGTTCCAGACTGAAAGAAGCTAAAGAGACACAAAAACCAAATGTGATTCCTTTTGCTACAAATGACAGTATTGAAACCTGGGACAATCCTGAATGATGGCTAAGAATTAGATAATTTTACTGGTTGTATAGTGGTTATGTAGGAGGATGTACTTCTTTGTAGAAAATGCAAAGTAAGGTATTTAGGAGTAATGGCATACTAAGCAATTTATGATCCACCGGACAAAAAGTTTCTTTGTTATTAATCTTGCAACTCTTCTTCAGGTTTGAGGTTTTTTTTAAAAAAATGTATTCTTAAAAAAACTAATAAAAGGTCAATAGAAAAAAGATCTTGATTAGAGAATAATTTGGCAACATGCATTAAGAATCTTCAAAAAGAGCACACCTTTGGATCTAGTAATTCTACTTTTAGAAATTTTTCTTGAGGAAATGATTGGCTACGTGCACAAAGATGTACGAACAAAGATATTTGTGGTGGCACAATTTATAACAGGATATAACGAAAGCATAACCTAAATGTTCAACAGTAAGAACTGTTAACTAAACTGTGATATATATATAACTAAACTGTGATATATATTAATAAAACAGAATACCATGTAGTTATTAATGATCATAGTATTGAAGAACAGACTCAGAAAAATGCTGACTATACAGTGTTAAATACTGAATTAAAATACAGCAGTATTTTAATATCAACCATGGTTATTACTGGAGAAAAGCCACCAAGATTTTATTTTCTATATTTTTTAAATATTGTTTTACATTGAGCTTTGATAAAAAGGGAAAAAAAACAAGGTAAGAATGAGTAGTTTTTATAAAGTTTCCCAGTAGCCTGCAAAAACTGTCCATTTATATCCCTACTTCTTCTAAACACAGTAGTTAATACTTTGTTATTAATTAATGGAATTTATAATGATTATTTACCCTAAACTCATTTTTAAAGGGCTTCATGCCAAACTCTCCAAATAAAGCTGTCTTGGGTTTAAGTTGTCTGAACTCCTTTACTTCCTTCACCTCCACTTCCTCTAAGCAGACAAGGAGGGTTTCCAGATACTACAGGAATTTAATCAACTTGAGCAATCAGCCTGTTTTACAGCCTCCTGCCTTGCAGCCTGCTCTTTCCCACACTTTGTGTGGAATGTGGTCACCTAGTCAGCTGGAACCAGCTCCCGACAAACACTGACAATTTATAAATGAACCCAAGTAAACTTTCCTCATTACCATGCTAAAGTCTCCACCACGGGAGGAACCATAGCTTCATTACTATAACTTGAAACCTATGTGCTGGCATAATGATTCACTGCATCTGCACCACTGGGACCCCTCCTCTGCATGCAATGACACACCCTCTCCCCCCTCCACCTCCCCATAAAACCCTCCTGTTGCTTTCCCTCAGGAAGACACTCGTCTAGTGAATACTCTCAGAGCTCTCTTTACTTGTGACTAGTAATAAAACTCTCACTGATCAAAACCTGCATTTTCTTTTTTCAGGCAGGGGTCTCACTCTGTTGCCCAGGCTGGAGTGCAGTGGTGTGATCTCCACTCACTGCAGCCTGGACCTCCTGGGGTCAAGTGATTCTCCCACCTCAGCCTCCCGAGTAGCTGGGACTACAGGCATGTGCCACCATGCCCAGCTAATTTTTAAGTTTGTACAAAGTTTCCCCACGTTGCCCAGGCTGGTCTCGAACTCCTGGGCTCAAGCGATCCTCCCAAAGTTCTGGGATTATAGGCATGAGCCACTGGGCCAGCCAAAACTTGCATTCCTGTGAAGAGTTGTTTGTTCTTGCCAGGCAAAGGAACCAGGTTTTTTTCAAGTAACAAATTCTGACAAGACAAACTTTATTCTTCATTTGAAAGTTTCTTACACACATTGTGGCTGCATCAGACCAATCTGGTTCAACTTTTATGTAATAATGTTATGAATTGTTTTTCAGTTGCCGTGGACCCTTAGGTCACATAGCCTGACCATGCTCAGATGAACCAATGGTGCAACCACAGGAGGAACCTAAGTGCTCAGCTGAGAAGCAGGGACTGAATCAAGCAGCAGACACGATGATAAAGTTTGGATGTTTGTCCCCTCAAAATCTCATGTTAAAATATGACCCCAATGTTGAGAGTGGGGTCTAATGAGGGAGTCCTCCCAAGAATGGCTTAGTGCCCTCCAAGAGGAAATGGCTGGTAATAAGTTTACACGAGATTCGGTTGTTAAAAAGAGCCTAGCACCCCCTCCCTTCTCCCCTGCTCCCTCTCTTGCCATGTGACACACCTGCTTCCCCTTGCCTTCTACCATGAGTAAAAGCTTCCTGAGATCTCACCAGAAGCCAAGCAGATGCTGGTGCCATGCTTGTACAGCCTGCAGAACTGTGAGCCAAGTAAGCCTCTTTTCTTTATAAATTACCCAATCTCAGGTTTTCATTTATAACAATGAAAAACAAACTAATATACACTGAATGACAGGATCCAGTATCCAATCAGATTGAGCTCTGGCATCCAGTCCGATCATGCCTCCCAGCACCACCTCATTGCAAGATCCAATCAGATCACACCTCATTACCCTATGCTTATAAAACCTGACACAGCCTCCAGCTCAGGGATACACTGCTTTGGGAACTATCCATGGTATTCTACTTGCTTGTTAAAAGTAATAAAATCCCTTTCATTTAATCTTCCTTGGTTATGATAATTAAGTTGATACCCAGTAAGTGACCAACCAAGCCATCTGTTTCATGGTAACAATATTACTTCCTTTTTTCCTTGCAATGCTTTTACTCCAGCCAATGTTTTTATCACCTTTTCCTCTAATCTATCCAACATATCTCTGCCAGAGTTATCAAATTTAAATAGGTCTTTTTTCAAAGCCCCTCCTTTTATTTATTTATTTATTTATTTATTTATTTATTTATTTAGAGATGGAGTCTCACTCTTGTCACCCAGGCTGGAGTGCAGTGGCATGATCTTGGCTCATTGCAACCTCTGCCTCCTGGGTTCAAGCAATTTTCCTGCCTCAGCCTCCTTAGTAGCTGGGATTAGAGGCGCCTGCCATCATATCCAGCTAATTTTTGTACTTTTAGTAGAGACGGGGTTTCGCCATGTTGGCCAGGCTGGTCTCGAACTCCTGACCTCAGAGGATCCACCCACCTCGGCCTCCCAAAGTGCTGGGATTACAGGCGTGAGCCACCATGCCCAGCCCCAAAGTCCCTCTTTATCCTACTGGTCAAAACCTGAGTTGGATCCATACTGCCAAAGTAAAAAGTCACTAACTCTTAGTGTAGGACTCTTAGAAGTCAAAGTCTAGTTAAGCCTCCTACAAAGAGGCCTCTCTGTAAAAGCACCCTCAGGGGTCACAGCCAAGCCCACCCTCCTGCCCACTGCAGAGCTGGGAGGAAGCTCAGTCTGTTCTCCAACCCTTGGCAGTGACAGTAAACTCCCCAACAGGGAAGCTTTTAAAATATATGAACAGTTGAACATTTGTGGATTGTTCTTACCTTTATTTTGCCACATCTGACCTCTAACTTCTGAACAGTTCTGTATTCTTAACTATGTAAAGTCTTATTCCTCTGCCTTAACATAGCCCCTTCAATTATCTGAAGGCAGATATCATGTCTCTCTCCTGCCTCTGTCCCCACAACTTCTGTTTCACAGAATAATATAGCTATTGTATTCAGTGCATTCTTCAAATTTTAATTTTCATACCTTTAAATAGGACTGAAGGTATTCATTTCAACCCTGCTTTCTAATATTTAGCTGTACAGAACTTCAGAAAGTAGAAATGGTAGGGAACGTACCCATGGGAACAAATGTCCATAATTACTGCTGTTTGGTGATATTTGGTGCAATCAAATTATAGCGTCATATCCCATAGTTTTATACAAACGGCTTTTCTCTTGCTTGCATCTCTTTAAGAAGAATTCCAATGTACACAGCTGTACGTATCTGAAGGTAGCCATTTGACTTCACTGTATATTATGCTTAGTGCTATGCAGATTATCTATTAAACATTTTAATAATCAGGATAATCAAATATACTATGTAGGATTTAAAAGACAAGAATCTCTAGTATGAAATTTCGTAATTGTTGAAACTGCAACTATAGAACTTTTATCATTTCCTGTCATTACTAAACAAAAAGTCCAAAGATTTTTGGAGAAATATTTTACTTTATTATTATTTGAGACAGGATCTCACTCTGTCACTCATGCTGGCATTCAGTGGCACAATCATGGCTCACCGCAGCCTCAACCTCCCTGGAATCAGGCGATCCTCCCACCTCAGCCTCCCAAGTAGCTGGGACTACAGGTGTGTGCCACCACGACTGGTTAATTTTTGTATTTTTTGTAGAGATGTAGTTTCACCATGTTGCTCAGGTTGGTCTCAAACTCTTGGGCTCAAGTGATCTGCCTGCCTCAGCCTCTCAAAGTGATGGGATTACAGCCATGAGCCACCATGCCTGGCTGGAAAAATATTTTAAACAGATGTTTGCATATATATTTCCTCTATCATTTATTTTCCTCGTTATACATATCCTGCGAGTTCAAAATTCAAACACAATCAAGAAATATTTGTTGAAAATCAAGTTTGTACAAAGGATTATGATGTGAGGTCTGAAATATGTGTTAGTATAATAAGTAATCCCTCAAAAATTTATAACTAATTTGTGAAAGGAAGCATAAGTACACATGATTAAATTCTAATGCAGGGGTTAAAATTACAACAAATCTCAGATGGTTAGAAATCTGGTTAGATAGAGAAAAAAGGGAAAGGCATTCCAGATAAATAGAATATATTGAGGAAATCAAATGAAGTTGGTAATTAATGTACAATTATGGTGAGCAAGTATTTAAGAAGCTGAAAATCTATGTAGTATTATGGTTAGCAAATTGAAAAAACTAGAAACTCCTGTACTATTATGGTAAGCAAACCAATCATGAATAGTAGGGGAAAAGGAGATTGCAAATGAAAATGAAGAAAGATTATGGGCATCTAAATAATGAAGTTAAGATTATGAACCACATTCTTTAGACATCAGAGACTCACACAATTTCTCAGCAGGAGAATGGCATTTAATGAACAAGAATTGTATATTAACAGGATGGATAAATCTCACAAACATATTGATAAAAAACAGCAAGTCACAGAAGAATACATACAGCATGATGTATTTCACATAAACTGAAAACATGCAAACCAAATGCTATGTTTTACTCCAACACACATACATACTATACAGTAAAAGTATAAAGAATGACTTGAGAATGATAGGAACCAAACTTAGATGGTGGTTACCTTGGCTGGGGCTGGGAATTAATAATGGAGGACAGAAGGGAGATTTAACCACAAATGCAGTATTTTACTTTTTAAAAGCTGGATAATGGGTGTATAAGTATCCACTGTTTTATTCTTCATACATTTTTAATGATGATGATTCCAAGCTTATCATTATTGTCCTAGTTTAAACTTTTACCATCTTTTGCTGTTATTATTTTAATAACATTCCAAATTTTTTTATTTCCAAAGATTTTGGGGGAACAGGTGGTATTTGGTTACAAGAGTAAGTTCTTTAGTGGCGTTTTGTGAGATTTTGGTGCGCCCATCACCCAAACACTGAACCGAATTTATACTCAGTATTTGAAATGTTATTAAAATAATAACAGCAAAAGATGGTCAAAGTTTAAACTAGGGCAGTAATGATAAGCTTGGAATAAAAGGAATAACTGTAAAATTTATTTACAAGAATAAAAGACAAGCATTGATGACTGAGCGTGTGAAAGGGAGGACAGTATAAAAATGAAAACCTTTCTCGGGAGAGCAGATTGTACATTTCTCTTCCCAACTCCCTTTTCAGTAATACCACATTATGAAGCCATCAGTAATGGCTTGAAGTCAGCCATTGTGGGACTATTTACACCTCAGAAATGTGAGAAAGCTACAAATCCAGGCTGTTTTCTAATTTTTGTTTTCAAGAGTTAACTTACCAGCACACTACTGTTTATAAACCATTTAATTAGAATTGAAGGAAATAAAAGGAAAGGGAATTAGCAGGTAAGCCACCAAAAACAAAGTTGTCCCTCATTTCTTACGTTTATAGCCTAGATGTAAGGCTAAAGAAAAAAAAATCTTTGAGGTCTACCAACTTAATTGACATCAATTGTTTTTATAAATAAGAGGTTATTTTGCAAAAATATTTTATAAGTGCTAGATTCCATGCACTAAGTTATTGAGTGTCATATTCCTAAGAAGACAACAGCACAGCAGGGAATGTAAGACTGAGTTATTTTCAAATACAAGTGGCTCACCCAGTGTCTCCCATTATGCACCCGGACCACGTGTCCTCGCATTTACATTCACCTAAGAGAAAATTAATACACATGCCTTGTTATAAAGTGAACACAGTTGCATTAAAGTAGTTTCTGTTTTAAAATAATTATCTCCACTTTATTCCTTAAAATGCCTTTTAAAAAGTAGTAACTTCTTTCTAATTCATCTTACAATAGTTTTTTTATGTAATATGCAACAAAAATATACTTTGACCCTATCAAGATTATATAATTTTTGCCCCAAAAAAACCCTTGTATTTTAACAAATGGCCATATTTAAACCATTTATTTAAAATGGCTTAAATGAAAGACAATCAAATACCAATGGAAGAATGAAGAACTTTATGGCACTATTACAGGATCTCAGTTTCACAGGCCTTTATGAGAACTATTATAATTTCTTGACCATTTTTGAAAGTCTCTGCACACACCAAGGTTTCTGGTAGAAGGCAGTGTAATATATTATTGGTTAGGCAGAAGGGTTTCAGAATCAGAAATACTAGGGTTCAAAACCTGAGTTTGCCATTTGATATATGTGTAATCTTAGAGACATTATACTTGTAAGAGCTAGTCACTTCATCTGTAAAATGGGGCTAAAAATGGGTGTCCTGTAGAATTACCTGGAGAATTAAATGAGTATCTAAATGGAAGTAATACTGGCACTCAATCATCTGGCATATAATAGGTACTCTATACATGGTAATAGCTTTTTTTTTTTTTTTTTTTTTTTTTTGAGATGGAGTCTCGCTCTGTGGCCCAGGCTGAAGTGCAATGGTGTGATCTTGGCTCACCGCAACCTCCGCCTCCTGGGTTCAAGTGATTCTCCTGCCTCAGCCTCCCGAGTAGCTGGTACTATAAGAGCCTGCCACCACACCCGGCTAATTTTTCTATTTCTAGTATAGACAGGGTTTCACCATGTTGGCAAAGCTGGTCTCGAACACCTGACCTCAGGTGATCCACCCGCCTGCCTCAGCCTCCCAAAGTGCTGGGATTCCAGATTATAAAAATAATATTTATGATGTTTGTTACTGAAATAAAAATGGAAATAATCAAATTTTTAAGGTAAATACATAGTATTTGACCATTCAGGGTAAAGTGACTTTACCTACTTGAGAAAAGACATTCTTCATAGATACCAAACCTAGCATATTTTACTAGGTCCATATATTAACTAAGCTTTTTATCAGGTCTGATCCTGACAGGGAAACTCTACCTCTGTGGCCATGTTCAGAGATGTTTTAAATAAAACATAAAAAAACCAGTACGTCTGAAACCTATATGCCTAGAATTCTCTACTAAACCATTAATGATGAACAAACTGGGCTAATTTTGTCCCTTATAAGGTTAAATTCAGCTTGAATTTATTATCACACGGCTTTAAAGTTTATTATAGTCATAGAAATTTCCACCTATAATGTAAATATTTCTTTGTATTACTTTGGAAAACAACAGTTTGTGCGCTGGATGTTTATCTTTTACTATCGTTCAAATTCCTTTCATCAAGCAACTAAATCAAAAAATTTTACTCTCCAAAATATTTCACAAATAGTCTATTTTAAATACAACTAACCACACATGTACTAAAACTTACCACTTGCTAACTTTCTTTTGTCTGAGATAATACCAATATTATGGGCTAATGACTGGGCAAGTGTAACAGCCATTAAATCAGTTTTCCCAAACTGAAAAACAAAAACAAAAATAAAATATATGTAAATCCAAATTGTCACTGACAAAGAACCAGAGAAAAATGTCACAATATCGCTGAAAATAAGTAATTTCTAAGCAATTTCTTTAGAAGAGGCTGAACACACTGTAGCCAGCACTGAATATGCATTTGGGAAAAAGTAGTAAGAAACAAAAATCCATGTTTGATTAGGTCTTACAGGGAATACTAGAAGTCAGGAAATAATCACAGCTTTTGGGTTTTGGAAATGTATATCTGAGTCCAAATTTCACCAGTGACATTCTTGAAAAATTCAATATTGGTATATAATTAAATCCGTCTTTTGGATAATACAAAATAAAATTAAATCTGTAAATTTTTTTAGAACTTGTTCATCTTTGTATCCAGTTGTAATCCTGAAATTCCCCTCAAGTGGAATAGAATGTAGCTTCAGAAAACAAATGAAATGAGTAACAGGAGGTAGTGATGATCTTCGGCCAATAGAAACTTAAGAAGAACTGAGGATATCTTTTTCAATTTGCAGCCTCTTAAAAATGCAAGTATTTTCTTTTTGATCATCTCTAGTAGGTTTAGTGCCTTAGGAGTAAAAGAAACCCTTTGGAAAACCTACTCTATTTTTCTTATCCCCAAATCTGTTAAATACTAAGGAAAAAATATCCAGTTGGGTTGTTAGGTGACAACCTGATGCTTCAGGGAATTATTCAATTCCCTGGAAAATCATTCAAAGTGATAAATAGGGCCTTATTTTCAATGAAGGTAAAGGTAAAGATTCTCTCAATTTAATCTGTAAGTAGCTTAATCTGGAAATTATTCCAAGCATAACATGAATATATAATAATTATCCCATATTATCTGCCATTATTTCCCCAGTCTGTCCTCTGGTCACTTACAGTAACCATATTAGTTTTTTATATTTTTAATTTTATTTATTTATTTATTTATTTATTTATTTATTTATTTAGAGACAGGGTCTCACTCTGTTGCCCAGGCTGGAGTGCAGTGGCGCAATCTGGGCCCAATACAACCTCTGCCTCCCAGGCTTAAGCCATCCTCCCACTTCAGCCTCCCCAGTAGCTGGGGCTACAGGCACACGCTACCACACCCAACCTATTTTTGTATTTTTGATAAAGACAGGATTTTGCCATGTTACCCAGGCTTGTCTCAAACTCCTCATCTCAAGCAATTTGTCCACCTCAGCCTCCCAAAGTGCTGGAATTACAGAAATAAGCCATTGTGCCAGGCCACCATACTGATTTGTAATATAGCAATCTAACATCTGGAGTATGTGAATACTGAGAAATTATCTCTTAAGTATGAGGAAAACATTTTCAGCCATCATACCACTTTGTATTGTACAGATGTTCACACCTACTTCATTCACGCCTCCTCCTTTCAGCAACGAGCAAATCCCACCAATATAAGCTGCCCCGCTCCGGCTACTCTCAAATTGACTTCCCCTTTTAGAAAAGGAAATGAAAAATGCTTACTGTTCACAGTTCAAACATCATAGCACCCCTCATTATTAGTTTACTACATTTATTTTCTCTATACATAAGATTTCTATACAATATATTCACATTGCAAGGGAAGAATGTGAAAATTGTTTATACATGTAACCAAAGAAAAAGGTTTATGAGGGATGTTTTCTTGCAAGATTAATAAATATCTTAAATTGAAGTATATCTATTAAAAAATAATTGGTTGATATGATGTACTCTGAGACAGACACAAAATCACTTCTCTGGTATTTCTGCCAAAAATACATATCTTAACATCAGGCATTCCCATAATGAGGAACAGTCAATAAAATAATTGGCCTATACTCTTCAAAAGTATTAAACTCAAAATAGACAAAGGAAAGCTGAGGAAATCTTTCAGATTAAAGGAGACTAAAGAGACATGATGATTAAATGCAATGTGTGATCCTGGATTGGATTTGGATGGGGAAAATTAGCTTTAAAAGACATTATTGAGGTAATTGGTGAAATTTGAATATAGACCATGGGTTACATAAAAGTATTATGTTTGTGTTAAATTTTCTGGTTTTAATAATTTACTGTGGTTATATAAGAGAATGTCTTTTTACTCTTAGAGAATATATACTATTTAATAATAAATCCCCAGTAAGTGTCTTCAACTTACTTTCAAGAGGTTCAGGAAAAAAAACAAAAAAAAACAAAAAAAAAACTGAAGGATGGATGAATGGAAGGAAGGGAGGGAGAATGGAAGAAAATTATGAAACAAATGGGGAAAATGTGAATAATTGATGAATCTGAATAGAGGGCATATGCAATTTCCTTGTAGTATTCTTGCAACTTTTCTCTAAATTTGGAATTATATATAAAGTTACCCCAAAATACATCTTTTCTTCCTTTTATAACTTTCTTCAACAGCTCTGACTTTAGATGATAGATTTTTAAAATTCTACTATATATAATTTGCTATTACGTCAAATATGCATGCTATCAAAAAAAGAACATAAGAGTGAGAAAAAATTAAAAATAAATTCCAGAAATACTAAGCTCTCATCTTAGAACCAAAAACAGAGAAAACATTAACATTTAAAAGACAGTAACTTTAAAGAATATAATTTATCTGTAGTTAAGAATACTATATATGAGTATTAGCAGTATTTTTACTCAGTAAATGCTCTATTTAAATATCTTGAAAAATTAAACATTAAATAATAAAATAACTCAAAATTAAAACTTTTACATTTTCATGGCAATTTTAAGCAATCTATACTTGAAAACTTTTTCCAAATCTATCTGCCATCTGCCATGTCAAATCCTAATTGTGTTATGTAGCAGAAAGGATACATTTCAGTCACAATAAAGCATTTAACATGGAATCAAAAAAAGTAATACATCATTACAGAAGTTACGTACGAAAAAAGGTGAACTGCATCACTTTTCTCTTTGATAAAATCCCTCCTGTATTTCATAAACTCACGTAGGGTGATCAATGGATTTTCAGATATGGCAAACTTGTTGTCAGTCGCCCAGGTTTCCATAGCAACCAATACTATCCTGGTCTTAAGTTGGTCTTTATATATCTAGTATATTAATAAAATGAACACATCAGCTGTACATGTGGTAAAATCAAATAGTTTATGAACAGGACTACAAAACTCCTTTCATGGAAACTTCTTTGAGTTTTAGTTAAAGGGAGATAACTTTCTAATTTACATGCATTTCCCTTGAGTAACAGAGAATGAAATTGTTGACCAATACCCAAAGAACAGAGCACTTTTTGGAAACAAAAGATCCCTTTTTGACAAATACCTGCACCCTATTCAAGGTTCCACCTGAATCTGTTTTCTGGTATCCTGGAAAAAGAATTCATGCATGCTTGAGTTCCCCTAGCCAAAAATGGAGCAATGAAGACTCTCCAAAGAAATAATTTCTATACAAGCTGACTGGCTCTGATTAGACTTGTGAAGAAGGTACTAGCGCAGCCTCATCAAGGGAAGATTTGGGAAGTATGGAGGTATAGTGGAATTATTTAGTTCCATCACTGCCACAGCACCAGGCACTCTTAAAGGCACAACTATTGTACTGTTTCTCCATCGTTATAAGTCACTGTGAATACCTTTGTTAGGGGTATGACACAACCTTTGTTTTTACAGTGTGAAAAACATAGGATGGAATTTCAAGCATATCTATGGATAACTTCGACCAGTTCCTCTTCCCAGCCAGACATCAAAGTCAATAAAGTCTATTGCAAGGTCACCCGGAACTTACTAGACACCTTGGCTGAAGTGCAACATAGAGCAGTAAAACTATAAGAATCATATTATCCATTCTATTAGCAATTAGGAAATAAGAATCTTCTAGGGCAATAATGAACGGGGTTGA
Source organism: Homo sapiens (assembly GCF_000001405.40). Taxonomy (NCBI): domain Eukaryota; kingdom Metazoa; phylum Chordata; class Mammalia; order Primates; family Hominidae; genus Homo; species Homo sapiens. The sequence goes on along the minus strand of NC_000007.14, from coordinate 88,130,466 downwards.
TACTTACTAAATCTGCCATGTTCACCACAGATTTCGCATAGGTATTGGTATGTACAACGGAAAGCCGATGTTTTTTAAACTGAAAGCAAAAGAAAACAAGTGAAGGTCTTGCAAAGTGATCAGAAAACAATCATCTCATCAGAGAAAACATGGTGCAATTGAAAGATCCCTAAAAATGTAAAAAAAAAAAAAATCTTTTCTGTAAAAATGTGTTGTCTGTAAAACAATGTCAGAGTCAGAGCTGAGATCAAGTTCTTTATCTGCTGTGTTGCCTGAGACAAGTCTCTTAAAGGATTGAAGCCTCAATTTATTCATCTGGGAGATGAAGTAAAAAATACCCAATCCATCCATTTCATAAGTTTATTTTTATTGGGATTGTTATTCAAAATGATAAAACATATGAAAGTTGTCTATGAATTGCAAGACATACAAATCTAAGTAGGGGTATAGACAGTAAAGTGGATGTGAACACTGCTAAAAGCAAACAAATTTAAAAGTTCTGCAAGACTTATTCAGCAAGAAGAAACCTCTAAGATAAAGGTCACAACGAGGTGGCATACAGGGCAGATGTGGATCACATATATCTTTGGTTGGTCTCAATCGTGTTTTAAAAATCAGGAAATATCATGTAAAATCCAATTTCTGGCTTCAGTTAAAATTAGCATTCTCACCTGGTAATAACTGGCAAACAATGAGAGGCAGTTGCTCCCCTTAGACAGGCCATGCACCATTCATTTCACCACAGGCCTTACCCACCTAATACTGTCTTATATCTGGTTAATTTCACTTACGTTATATGTCTACTGATGTCTATGGATATCTGAATTTGTGACGATCTAAAATGTTCAAAATATATGTTGTTATAACTTATTTTATAAAAATCCTAGGGAACAGAAACATTCACTGGATTCAAATAGGTGGAAAGATAAAACTTAGACCTAGCTTGAACAAGGAAGCAGCACTCAATCCTGATTGTGTTGTTATTATTATTATTAGCAACTGTAATAATTAAGATCTAAATTATGTATTTAATCATACATAAATAAATGATCATTTTTTCCTCAAATAAGTAGTTCAAAGTAAATTAAAATGCACTTGTACCTGAACTTAAGTAAAATTCAGCAATATGCATCATTAAACATTTTTAGTTTAAAACTTTGGTTACATAGAACAATTAGCATTATAACTCATTGCTGTGCTATGAATGTAGTCATACTGCCTGCAATATGCCCATTAACTGAATATAAACACTATGGGTCAAAATAATTTGATTCAACAACATGAAAGTTTTGTCAAGTTCTTATCCTAAGAAACTTCATCCTAAGCTAAATGGTTAGCTATGTAAGCATTTCCATATGATTTCTGCACAGTAAGACCAAAATAGAAAAGCTGCTTTTCTTTTATTAAGATAAAGGTGTACCCCGCGAACTAAAATGTCTCATAATTGGTGCCTCACTTTTTCAATATATAATGGAATTTCCATTTTTTTAAACCTTGTCATTTTATTAAGTGGAGATTCAAATATTAGTACCTCTACTAATCAAGCAAACTCAAAAGTTGATACTATGAGTCACAAAGTATTTTTGAAAACTCAAAAGTTACTGCTAGTTATTTCCACCTATGAATATTTCCTAATTGCAGGTTGTTGCTAGTTAACAAATATATTTGATTATACAAATACCTTCTCCAGGTTACAACTTGATGGGCTTCTTGTTTTTTCTAAACATATTTTTGCACTCACCAGTTTTACCCTAGGCACAAACAGGCTTAAAAACAACAGCAAATCCTACCATAAGGTGATCATTCACAATCATCAGTTCAATGTATTTGGTTTCTTCTTCTACATTACGAGGATATCGACGAAGCTGTAACACAGGAAAGGAAACAGCACCTAATTCAGCCCTCTAAACTTGGCTGCGAAAAGCTAAAAAATATGGAAGAAACTGACAAAACAAAATTTTCCCTTTTTATTCCTTCAGCATTTAAAAAATTTTTCATCAATTTGCTTAGTTTCTGAGTTGGTAATAAATTTACATGACTCAGAAAATTTAAAAAGTATAAAAGGGCAGAAGATGAATGTCTTCCTCTCACCTCTATTCTCCACCTACTCAGTTCCTAGTCCTTCCCCCACAATGGATATAGCAAGTTACTGGTTCCTTCCAAAAATACTTCTGCACATAAAACTAAATGTGAATATGTCCTTTATTTTGTACTTCCGTTTATTTCACTCCTTTCTGCCTCCAGCGATTTTCATTTAACAGTCTATCTTGAAAATAGTAACATATGAAGAGCATTCTTTTGGGTTTAATTTCAGGTCCTCTGAGGATCTCCGAGAGGGTACAGGGACTGGAGTGATTGGCACTTTTATTATTTAATCTCCAAACTGGGAGTGAGTCATGTGCCTTCATCTAGGACGTTTCAGGGGATCCCCAAATGACATGGGGTCTTTGTTAGAATAGCTTTGAGAACTCCCAGGCAGTCTTGAGTTATCTATTACAGCTAGCTTTCTCTGCTCACCAACAAGTTTTCTTCTCTTTCGAAATAATGACCAATGAAAGTTACAGGGAAAAGCCACTAAGGAAAAGCCACTAAGGCAGCTATTCTCTTTGTTCTCTACAGTTAGCCTATAATATAATCATTAACAAGGTTTGTAAAGCTAGCTTTTTCCTTTATGCCATAGTTCAATATAAACTTTTCCAGAAAACGTTTTGCTCACTTGCCCAAGGTCCATTTTTGCGATAAGGGTATACAATCAAACTTAAATCAATACATATATGTTTGTTTTGAGTGTTGCAGTTAAAACCAACTTTAAAAATGCTCCCACATGGATTTTGTCATTGCTAACTGCAATCCTAAACTTAAAAACTTAAAAAAAAAAAACTATTATAACACCAAGGTGATAGGGAATAATAGATACAATTCTGAGGTTGGAAACCAAAGAATAACACTAAAGTGCATCCAATGATGAGAGTCTTCTTTTCTTTTTTAAGGGAGGGGGGTGTTTTTAGGGCAACAGGAGCTGCTTTGCTACTTGTGAGAGACTAGTTAATACAGCAAATTTTTCAACAAATCCCAACATTTTGTTAATGTCAAAGAGTTGCCATATTAGCCACACAGTTTTATAGTACTTCACCTCTATGGGTCCATGGCTTTCTCAGAAAGAGAAATCAAGGTTTTGTCTACTTAGCAAATGATTAGATGCTGAGATGTTTATGAGGAACTTCAGGGTACATGTCAAAAGAATATTGTCCTATTCTTTCAGTCCATAATTCAAAAAAATACTGTTTCACATTAAATCCTGATGGTAATTATTTTATCTAACTGGGCCTCAAGATACGTATGTCTTTACCTATTCATATATATATATATACACACACATATGTTTATATATGAGTATATATATATAAACATTCACAACACTTATAAAGGTCACAGTAGTAATTCATGGAACACATGGGTCTGAGAGGCAATATATGGCGTATATGCGGTTATAAGCACCTCTCTGAGACCAGGCTTCCTAGGTCAGAATCCCAGCTCTACCACAGAGTCACCCTATGTGGCTTTGGGAAAGTTTCTTGATCCTCTTATGCTCAATGTCCTTATCAGTAAAATGAGGATATTATAGGTTAAGTATCTCTCATCTGAAAATCCAAAATCCCAAATGCTCCAGAATGAAAAACTTTTTGAGCACCAATAGGACACTCAAAAGAAATGCTCACTGGAGCATTTCAGATTTCTAATTTTTGAATTAGGGATGCTAAAACACTAAGTATAATGTAAATATTCTGAAATCCTCCCCCTGCCAAAAAATAAATCAAAATGTGCAAAACTTCCGGTCCCAAGCATTTTGGAAAAGGGATACTTAACCTGTGATAATACCTTCCTCTTAAGGTTTTTGAGGGTTAAATGTGTTAATATAGTTAAAATTCTTATAATAGGGCCAGGTACAAGGTAAGTATTCAATAAAATTTAGCAATAATTATTCACAATAAAAATCTGTCTGTAAACATATATTTTATTTCAAGGTAATAAAAAGAAGATACCTGGTTCCTTCAACTTCTTGATCTTACTAGAGATCTATTCCCTTCATCTTGTGTTTTTAATAACCATCTCTCCTGCCCACACCACCACAGTGGTGATATCTTGATTCTGATGGCCACAACTCTTAATTTTGTCTAAACTGTTTACCAGCTCTATGATTCGAGTAAGTCATTTTCACATGTCACAGAGTCATCATTTTTCTTTCAGTGAAAGGGGAATAATAGTACCGACTTCATTTGGTTTAAAGCGTCATATCAACAGTTATTATTACCTAGTCCAAGATCCAGTCGAACAATCATAAAGTCCATGACCTAATTTTATATCCTGGACTCCAAAGTTTTGCCCAAGTGAGACAAAAGCATTCTGTGGCTTCACAACCTGATTGATTCATTCCTAAGGGGTTATCTTCCAGGGAATAAATACAAGGATATAAACCATACAAGTGGATTCCACGATGTGGTACATATCTGGGCAAGGAAAGAAGCCTATGGTAGAAAGAACCCAAGGTGCCACAAGCAGGAGCCTCATAACCCATAATATGATGAAGAAACATATTATCACCACTATCTTGAATCCTTTTTGCATCTGTGAAACAACATGGCCCCCTTTCTACTGCTTCTTCAGATCCATCACCCTTACGGTTTATCACACCCTGACAAATTCCCAAACTAATACTCACCCTCTCACACAGACTTACTGTAGATTCAAATGACTGGCAGTTGACAATTGTTTTAAAATAACACGACACACCACTGTGAATACATACCTGCCGTTTACTCCTTTTTGGTCTTGGCTTCAAAATAAATTTTGATGGAGTAATGTTTACTTGCTGAAATTCTAAAAGGAAATTAAATTTAATTTAACTTAGTGCATTTGTCAGATTTCTTCAATACAGGGCAAAGTTTTACCTGCCCTTCCTTCTTATGAATTTTATAATACATAATGTTGCACTTAACGATCACACAAACCATTAAGTAACTGTAGTATATTAATACTAAATAAACATATAAAGGATGAATATAATTTGCAAAATCTAGAACATTATTTCTGTTCTAATTTATCTGGAAAATTTTTCATATTTCTCTTATAAATATCATTACTTTATTTACTGGAAATCTTCCAAAAAGCCAACTTGACTTTCACCTCCATTACTAACCTTCTAGAGGCAGCAAAATAAAGAAGAGGAGCAATGAGAAGTAGAATAAATAATCACACATTCCCAAGTTCATAATTTATTAAGAAATTGTTATAGGACACCAAAGTTTTGAGCTAATTTTTTCCAATTAATTTATATTCTTCTTTGCCCATAACCAAATTGATCTCAGGATTTATCTGCTCTTGGTAGCAGATGTGAAAATTATACATCAACTGTTTATGCGTATAGATTCATCTCCAAATATAAGATTAGGTTATTTATAAGGGAGGATTTTTCTACAAAGTGAAAGGAAAGCTGCAATCTTTCCACAGGGTACAGATTTCCTAAGACTTTGATGGTTGAGCAACCTGAAGGGGCTTATTATACAAATAATACTATAAAACACTCAAGGTGAACCATTACCATTATTTTTGGATACTGTTCATAAAGGAGAAATAAGCATGGTCAGAGAAATTTGTGACCAAGAAGCTGAATAATAAAATCGGGTAAGGAAATTAGTGTTCTCTCTTTATTTCATGTTCAAATATTCTCCCATCATGTCATTTTTCAGAATGCTATGGCCTGGGCATACAAGGGATTTGTTGAGAAAGGGAATAAGTTCTCCTTTATAATTAACTAATAGGACAAACAGAAAAACAAGATTACAAAAGTAACCCATCTCATATCAATAATTACATTAAATGCAAATAGACTAAATGTTGTGCCTAAAAGGCAAAGATTGCCAGACTGGATTTTTTTTTTTTAATGCAAGACTTAACTGCATGCTGTTTAGAAGAGGGGCACTTTAAATTTAAAGTATGGAAGAAGATACACCTTACAAACATTAATCACAAGAGAACTGTGAAGGAAATATTAATATCAGACAATGTAACTTCAGGACAATAAGTATCTGAGAGAAAGGAAACTATTTCCTAATTATAAATGGGATGATTCATCAAAAAGACACAATGCTCCTAAATGTTTATTCACCTAATAACAGAGTTTTAAAATACATGAAGTAAAAAGTGACAGACCTGAAAGGAGAAATAGACAAATTCAAAGTTATAGTTAAGGATTTCAACAATCCTCCCTCAGTAATTGAAAGAAAAAAAAAGTAAACAGAATCATATGGATATAGAAGACTTAACACTATCAACCAATTTAACTAAGTTGGCATTTTTAACACTTTACCCAATAATTGAAGAATACATATCCTTTTCAAGAATACATGAAACATTCACCAAGACAGACATTATGATAGATCATAAAACAAGTCCCAATAAATTTTATTTAAAGAAAATGAAATGACACAGAGTATTTTCTCTTATTGCAATTCTATTAAATTAAAAAATCTATAATAAAAAGGTGCTTGGAAAAAAATAACCAAGTATTTCGATACTGAGCTCTACATTTCTAAATAATCCATGGGACAAAGAAGAAATCACATGGTAATTTAGAAAATGTTTTGACCTAAAGTAAATAAAAATATGACAAGGCAAAATACAAGGGATGCAGGTAAGGCATTTAGTGCTTGAAGGGAAATGCATAGCTTTAAGTGGTTATGTTAGAAAAGAAAAAAAAAAGTTTAAATTATGATCTAATCTTCCACCTTAAGAGCCCAGAAAAATAAGAGCAAACTAAACACAAATCAAATAGAAAAAAGTGAGACTCAAAACTTAAACACAAAAATCAATAAAATTGATCAGCAGGGCTTGACCAATAAAGAAAGCAAATCACTACAGATTCTATAGATACTAAAAAGATAATACGAGGATATTATGAAGAGCTTTATGCCAATAAATTTGTTAATTTAGATGAAATTCCTTGAACGTGTGTATATATAGAAAATCTGAATAATCCTGTATCTATTAAATAACTTTAATTCTTAATTAAACTTTCCAAGAAAACCACAAGGCCAGATGGCTTCACTGATGAATTCTACCAAAGATTTAAGGAAGAAATAATACCACTTTTACACCAACTTAGAAAAAAAAAAGAGTTTGGAAACTTTTCCTAACACATCTTATAAGACCAGTAAAACCCTGGTACTAAAACCAGAAAAGAAAACTACAGTCCAATATGCTTTCTGAACCTATATTTTACAAATGCTTAACAAAACATAGGCAAATCAAACCCAGTAATACACACAAATATAATCTACCATAACCAATTGGGGCCCATTTAAGAATGCAAATTAGTTTCATATTCAAAACATCAATTTATACAATTCATCACATTAACAGATTAAAGGAGAAAATTATATGATCCCGTAATAGACATAGAAAAGCATTTGACAAAATTCAACACCTATTCTTGATAAAAACTCTTAGCAAACTAGAATAGCAGACTGATAAAACTACTCAGATGCAAATATGTGCTACCTTTCATGGAAAAGGAAGGATGAGCAGAATTAAGAGTTGAGAACACAGAGCCAAGAGTCATGGAGAATTATTTCTAGGCCTTGAAACCCAGTCAAGAAAGGGTCAACATTTGCCCAGCAGAATTTCAGAACTGCAATGTCAGTGTCTTTCTTGTTTCTCGAATTTTCCCTCTTTTGTAAGGGAATGTCTATAGCTGGCCCATTACTGGATCCTGGGACTACATAGGGCAGATAACTTGTCTCTTTAGTTTTACACACAGAAGGACTAAGAGAAATTACACCCAAAAACCCTCATCCACACCTGGATCTGATTTAGATAATGAGATTCCAGACTTTGAGCAGATGCTATAACGGGATGAAATGCTTAGAGACCTAGGGAGGAAGAGAATGTATTTTGCAGGTAAAAGGGACAGGAATTACTGGGGGCCAAAGAGAAGAATTTGACAGACTTTAAGATGACCTCTAATAGTCTCCACCTCCTGGTACTCACGCCCTTTTGTAATGCCCTCTCTCTGAGTGTGAGTAAAACCTGTAACTTGCTTCCAACCAATGGAATACAGCAAAGGTGATGAACTGTCATTTCTCAAGATAACATCATACAAGATTGTAACTCATCTTGCTAGAGACTCTCTTCCTTACTGGCTTTCATTACATGAGCACTAGTGTTGTGAGCTTCCCTATGGAGAGGCCTATGTGAGAAAGAGAGCAACCATCAGCCAAAAGCCAGCAAGAAACCAAGGCCCTTGGTCTAAGAGGCTAAGAAGAACTGAATTCTGCCAACGACAACTGCATATCCTTCCACAGTTGAGCCTTGAGATGAGATGCAGTCCTAGAAAACACCTTGACTGCAGCCTGTAAGGGACTCTGAAACAGAGAACCCATCTAAGCCATCCTTGGACTCCTGATCCACAGAAACTGTGAGATAATAAGTGTGTATTGTCTTAAGAGGTGCATTTTGTGGTAATTTATTACTCAGCTACTTTCTAATTTTTCTGTACATAATAAAAATGAATTCCTCAGCAATAGATAACTAATACAATGACACTGTATAATCTCATTCCCTTGAGAGAAGGCTGGACTCTGTGACTCATTTCTAATAAATACTATACAGCAAAAGTGATCAGATGTTACTTTTGAGATCAGGTTAACAAAAAGACTGTGGCTTCCGTCTTAGGCATACTGTCTCATTCTCTCTTCTCTTGGTCTCTCACTATCTCCTGGAACAAGTTAGCTACCAGGTTGGTGGGGGGCAGCCCTGTGGAGAGGCCCATGTGGTGAGGTACTGAGGCCTGACAACAATTATGTGAGTGAGCTCAGAAGCTAATCCTTCCCAGTTGAGCCTTCAAATGAAACTGTAGTCCCAGCTGACAGTTACGCTACAAACTCATGACACCGTGGGCCACAGGCACCCAGCTAAACCACACCCAGGTTCCTGATTCTCAGAAATTATGAGGTAATAAATATTTGTTTATTAAAGCCACTAAGTTTTAGAGTAATTTCTTATACAGCAATAGATAATACAATATCTACACTAAAAATGACCAAACACTGAAAGAAATTTTAGTCTCACTACTAATAATATGCTGTTTTCCCCCATTAACCCATACTTTTAATACAATTCTAATAAAAATCCCAGAATTATAGAAATTGACAAGCAGGTTCTAAAATCTGTAGGGAAATGTGAAGGGCCCAGAATAGCCAAAAATTTTTGGAAAAACCAGAATTGGAGGATTTACGTTATTTGATTTCAAAACTTATATAAAGCCACAGTAAGCAAAACAAAGTGTGATAAGGGTAGCCAAATAAAATAAGAGTCAAGAAATAGACTCATATTCATACTTTTAATACTTTTTAACAAAGACATCAAAACAATTCATTGATGAAAGGAAACTGTTTTCAACAAATGGTATTAAAATAATTGTGTATCCACATACAAAATAATAAAATAAAACTTAACCCCTACTTTTCACCATGCACAAAAAGTAATTTGAAGAGGATCCTAGATCTAAACATAAAAAATAAAACTATAGAGTTTTTAGAAGAAAACACTAGAGAATATCTTCAAAACTTGGGAGCTAGCAAAAATTACTTAGCATAGAGAAAGCAATAACGATAAAAACTAATGTTAAACTTCATGAAATTTAAAACATCTGTTCATCATAAGATGCCATTAAGTAAATGAGCAAGCCAAAGACTGGGAAAAATATATTCATAAGGCATATTTGGCAAAGGCCTTCTATCTAGAATATGTAAGTACTCCTACAACTTAACAACAAAAAAGACAGAAATTCTGATTAGTGGCGAGTAAGTATATACTACACATCATTAATCACAAGAAAAATGCAAATTTCAACCAAAGTGAGATACCACCACATACACTAGAATAGCTAAAATTAAAGAATGACAGAGCAAATGTTGGTCAAGATGTGGAACAATTAAAACTCTCATAGAGTGCTGACACAAATATAAAAGAGTGTACCCACTTTGGAAAAAGGGTTCAGCAATTTCTCATAAAACAGTGGTTCTCACTTGGACACAGGAAGGGGAACATCACACACCAGGGCCTGTTGTGGGGTGGGGGAAGGGGGGAGGGATAGCATTAGGAGATATAACTAATGTAAATGACCAGTTAATGGGTGCAGCACACCAACATGGCACATGTATACATATGTAACAAACCTGCACGTTGTACACATGTACCCTAGAACTTAAAGTATAATAAAAAATATATATATATTAAAAAAAAACAGTGGTTCTCAAAGTGTGATTCCAGCACCAGCAGCATTAGCATCACCTGGGAAGCACTGGAAATACAAATTCTCCAATCCCACCCAAGATATACTGAATTAAAACTCTCAAGATGGGGCCAGCAATCTGTGGTTACCAGTCCTCCAGATGATTCTGATGCATGCTAAGGTTTGAGGACACTGTCAACATAGTTAAACATGTACCTACCCTATGGCCCAGCAATTTTATTCCTAGGTATTTACTGGAAGAAATGAAAATATGTGCTCACAGAAAAGACTTGTACAATAACGTGCATAGTTGCTTTTCTCATAATAGTCAAAAACCGGAAACAACCTAAATGTCCATCAACTTAATAAGTTAAAAATTGTGTTATAGGCCGGGCGCAGTGGCTCATGCCAGTAATCCCAGCACTCTGGGAGGCCAAGGCGGGTGGATCACTTGAGGTCAGGAATTTGAGACCAGCCTGACCAACATGGTGAAACCCTGTCTCTACTAAAAATACAAAAATTAGCCAGGCATGATAGTGCATGCCTGTAGTCCCAGCTACTCGGGAGCCTGAGGCAGGAGAACTGCTTGAACCCAGGGGGCAGAGGCTGCAGTGAGCCGAGATCGCACTATTGCACTCCAGCCTGGGCAACACAGCAAGACCCCATCCCCCACCCCTGAAAAAAGTGGTATATTCATAGGACACAACATATTCAATAATTTAAAAGAATGAACTATTGCTACTCTTGACAACATAAACCTCACAGGCATGTGCTAAACAAAAGAAGCTGCACATAGTACATGATTCCATCTGTATAAAGTTCTACAACAGACAAAAGGAATGGCAGAGGTGGGAGGCACTGACTACAAAGAGTACAAAGGAAGTTATTGGGGTAATGGACATGCTCTATCTCTCAACAAGAGTGTAGGTATGTAAAAAGTCATTGAATGGTACACAAGACTTTTATATTTCATTGCATATTTTTTTAACTGGGTGCATAAGTGTCCACAGGAAATAAGATTTTCCCAGAATATGTTCTCAGAAACACTAGTCCTGAGACAGGTACATGCCATGTAAAGCAAATGTTCCACAGTCCAGCAAGTTTGGGGAACAGCTGATCCTATGTCTATCGCTGGGAAATATATAAAACATAACAAGATGATGATGTTGATAATCTACAACCCAGTTAAACTTTATGTAATCTATAATAATTAAACTTACTTTTGAAACTGTTTCACAGAAATTGCAGTTTTGACATTTATTTGTCCATTTCTTGTTTTCTTCTCATTTATCACAGTAAATCATAAGTAATGTTGGGAGACAAACTCTCTCAAAATTGACAGTGCCAACTTCTGATGAGAAAAGAAAACTAGAAACTGATTGAAACAGACCTGAGTTTTTAAAGAATGTGTCTAAAAATCATTTTAATAACAGCAAAACTGCCAAGTCACCATCAAAGTTTCTGCTGGAAAGAAACCCTGAATGATTTTCTCAAAAAAAAAAAAGATATATATATATATAGATAGATAGATAGATATATAAGGTTATATCCTAGCAAGCCTACAGTCAAGTCTTTAGGGAAAAATCTTTATTTATTACTTTAAATATTAATTAATGTTGACTGCTCCCAGTAATACCCATTAAATTATAGCTTTATTCCCACACAGCTAGTCATGACTTATTTTCTTATCAGAATAGGGATTTTAAAAAGTTTTATAAGATCACTGAAAGAACAGTCTAAAAAGTCTGTGAGAGGTAAGAGCATCTATATTCCCATTTGAAGATTTTTCAAAATAGTAAATTCTATTAAATCTTCTATCCCTCTGGCAGCAGGAGAGAAGGGGAGAGAATGTTCATTTCTCTTTAGGAAAATTACAGGAGGACAAGGAGTTACAAACTTCATTTAGAGAGAAAGGAACATTAGGAAACATTTATTTTCTGATGAAGAGACAATGTAAACTTCTAAGTGATTATCTAAGCATTAGTTTAGGATTACTCCGTTTCCCTCTGTGCTTCTCTACCATAGTGTCATAATTCAAAACTCAACTTTACCCCTTGCTAGCTGTGGGACCCTGGAAAAGACAAACTAGCTGAGCTCTGTTTCTTCATCTACAAACCGGGAATAACATTAATCTTACAGGGCTGCTGCAAAGATTAAAACGAGATTAAAAATTAAAATAATCAGGCCGGGCACAGTGGCTCACGCCTGTAAACCCAGCACTTTGGGAGGCCGAGGCAGGTGGATCACAAGGTCAGGAGTTCGAGACCAGCCTACCCAATATGGCGAAACCCCTGTCTCTACTAAAAATACAAAAATTAGCCAGGCGTAATGGTGTGTGCCTGTGGTCCCAGCTACTTGGGAGGCTGAGGCAGAAGAATTGCCTGAACCCAGGAGGCGGAGGTTGCAGTGAGCTGAGGTCGCGTCACTGCATTCCAGCCTGGGCGATAGAGCAAGACTTTGTCTCAAAAAAAAAAAAAAAAAATTAAAATAAGGCTCACTAAATAGTGGAGGAAGCATCTCCATACCAGATATCCAGATATCTTCTGAATAAAGATATTCAGTGTGCTGTCTGTCTTCAGAAGAAAACAAATGAGTCCAGCACAGCCAAAGACAAACGCTAACTCACCCTGCATAATCACTGCTCCACTAAGGAGGGCAAAGTATGCATGCACTGCCCTTCCTGTCATGTGAAGACTTGGAAGCGACTCTCAAAGCAACATAGGTTGCTAGGTCCATTTATTCAACCTAAAATAAATTAGCTTACTTTTGAAAATATTTCACTAAATTTGTATTTTTGACATTTGTCTATTTCTTGTTTTCTTCTAACTTATTATAGTAAATCATAAGTAATCTTGGGAGACAAACACTCTTAAAATTAACCTAGATCCATTTAGGTATAGATGAGAAGAAATGACTAATTTCACAAATAACACATAATGATAATAAAAGTTAACCCATAATAGTTCTTTCTTAAAATGCTAGAGCAAAAAAGAGACAAGGAAAACAATAAATAGGGAAATGATTAAGAGTTCATCCCTATGTTTACAAGACCAGTATTTCACAAAGAGTGAATTTGTATGTACTTTGTCTCACAGACCAATTCTTGCTCTAATCTTGTTTCTCCTTTAGTGCCTTATTTTTAATTTTAAAATTTTTTAAAGTTTTCCTCCACATCTTTCCAAACTCATCTGTGAGGACAGTTTGCATTTTATTCTCCCTCTTGACGTGACTTGGCTCTCCCTCTAAAAATGTCAAAAGCAGATGTGGGCTAATGATATTCCAAATATAGATTAGTTCTAAGGCATTAAATAAATTACTGAAGTTGTCTTTTAGATAAAAAGTCACTATATGAACATCATACCAGATGGAAGATCATCCAAGGAAAATTCAAACAGTCTGGATTTGTAAACTGAATGAAAATGGAAATCCTCCTGAAATGACACAAGCAACAGTGATTAAGCATGTACAACAGGATTATCTCCAGCCTTAGGCAAACATAGCTGGAGACCCTTAAAAGAACCACAGCTTGCCTATGCATTCTCCTGGGTTTAGAGAGGTGATGAACCATTGCCCAACCCCTCCTATTCTCTCCTGTATTCTCTCAGCACCAGAGCAACATCCAATGAGAAGAAAAATGCCTTCACAGAGAAGCCAAAGCCTACAGTAATGGAAAACAAATGAATGAATCTATTCCCCCAAGGACAAATAAGACATTTGGCAAAATGACTTAATGTTTTTTTATTACTGATTCCTTTCACGGATCCCTGCACCCTTTTAAAAGTCAGAGAGCTTTGGTAGGCAGACTACAGAGCTAACAATCTTCATAGTATTGGGGAGCAGGATGCCTGGTATAAGTAAATGTCCAAAGTGGACCCTGTTCTGAAATTCAAGTGTCATACAAGCTATATGAAAAAGCAAGAGATAAAAAGTCACATTTTTCTTCTAAAAAGTTAATAAACACTCAAATATAATTTCATCTGGCTTCATCCAATTACTAAAAAAAAAAATTAGAATGTCATAGTCCGGTTTCATATTATCTTAAAAAAATCATACTGTCAAGCAAAGTGACAAGACAGGCAGCAGTGGGTACCCATAAAATAATACACAATACAGAGAATTTCCCAAACAAGATGGTTTATGGGTGACAAAGCCATGCATGTTTCTTGGAAGAATTTGCCTCTCTGCTTAAGCAATGTTGTGTAATACGAGGAAGAACATTTGTATGTACAGAGCTAGAATGAAAGTGTATTATGTTTCTGTGTAGTCTATAATATTAATTCAACTTCTTCTAATTTGTGGGAAATGAATGTTTCAGCTAAAGTGAGAGACAGGATTAAGATGACTCAGGTTTCTCTAAACTTCATCAGCATAGAGCCTTAAAAGCAATAGACAATAGAGAAAAATCTGGAATCTAGAAAAGAGAGGAGGGGTGAAAAATCACAGCTCTGTGGATTTGATTTGTTGTGGACTGAATGTGTGTGTGTCCCCAGACTTCTCATATTGAGGCCCTGGCACCCAGGGTAATTTTGTCTGGAGATAAGGCCTGTGAGGAAGTGATAAATGTTAAATGAGGTCATAAGGGTGAGATCCTTATTCAGTATAGCTGGTACCCTTATAACAAGTGGAGACAACCAGAGTTCTCTCTCTCTCTCTCTGCCATGTGAGAACACAGTGAGAAGGCAGCCATCTGCAACTCAAGCAAAGAGCCCTCACCAGATGTCAACCCTGATGGCACCTTGGACTTTCAGTGCCCAGAACTGAGATAAAGTTTCTGTTGTTTAAGCCACCCAGTCTACAGTATTTTGTTATGGTAGCCAAGTCAAACTAAGACAGATCATAACACATTAGGGTTGAGATGGAAATAGAGATTTCAGAACACCTCAAAGGGAAAGTATTATATTTCCAATATAAAAGAGAAAGAAACAAAAGAAATTTTTTGTTTGTTTGTTTGTTTGTTTTGGAGACGGAGTCTCATTCTGTCACCCAGGCTGGAGCGCAGTGGCAGGAGGTTCAAGCAATACTTCTGCCTTAACTTCCCAAGTAGCTGGGATTACAGGCGCATGCCACCACACCTGGCTAATTTTTGTATTTTAGTAGAGACGGGGTTTCACCAAGTTGGCCAGGCTGGTCTCTAACTCCTGACCTCATGCCCACCTCTGCCTCCAATAGTGCTGGGATTACAGGCATGAGCCACCACACCTGGCAAGAAATTTTTTAAAAAACACTTGTGGTTTTGACTTACTCAATATTTAGTTTAAAATATACAGACAGTCCCCAACATACATGTTTTTGACTTTATGATGCATTTATCAGGGTATTAAATACGTTTTTTACTTATAATATTTTAACTTATGATAGGTTTATCAGGACATAGACCCATCATAAGTTGAGGAGCATCTGTACATATGTTTACTATCTTAACCCTAAAAAATATAAAAATGAAATAAAGTAGAGATAAAAAAAGGAGAGGAAAAAAGCTCTCAGCATAAACATTTCCATTTGCCACAACAAACAGAAGGAGCACTTACTTGAGTAGTGTCATTTTCTTCTGGCTCAATGAGATATGTGTGGTTCCCGTCATAGAACATCCCACTGCCAACGACAAAAAAATAATTAGGCATGGCCATCGACTCTCATCCCAGAACAAGATCATTTTAAAATCAGCAGCAGCCAGAGGGCCCATTTGCTTCTCAATGCCCATTTCCCA
Source organism: Homo sapiens (assembly GCF_000001405.40). NCBI lineage: Eukaryota > Metazoa > Chordata > Mammalia > Primates > Hominidae > Homo > Homo sapiens. The sequence continues at coordinate 88,114,468 of NC_000007.14, read as the reverse complement.
GTCCCATCCATCACCTCCAGACACACCACACACACCACTGAGAGGGAAGGCCCCTCCTTCTGATTCCTTATAGGTAGAGTCACCTCATCCTCACCTGACCCCATGCTCAGGATTGCCATGCTCTAGCTGTTGCCCATCACTTCTTCCTCTAACATAGAATTCCAAGATTTTCATATGCAAAAAGTCATCTGGAGAGCTAGTAAAAACGCAGCTCTTTCAGGACTCTCCTCAGATTTATGGACTGGAACCCAGGAAATTGCATTTTAAATAAGCTCCAGGTGATCCTGATGCAGGTTTTCAGGGACTATACTGAGAACGCCCGACCTACCATAAACATGGAAGATGCTCTAGTAACAAGAGCTAACACATTTGAACAACTTGCCACAAGCTAAATACTTTACACTCATTTAATCTTTTCCACAAATCTACAAGAGAAGTACAACGACTATCCTTATTTTATAAGTAAGGAAACTGAAACCCAAAGAGATAAAGTAACTTGCCAAATTATTTAACCAGTAAGAGCAGAAATAGGAACAGAGCCCAGACAGATGGGACCACGAACTGCCCATTTGCAACCTGCTACCTACCTCCATTCATGCATTCCTTCATTCAATCAGCGTGTTTACAGAGCACCTACAATGCACTGTTCTAGGTGCTGGGGATACAATAGCAAACAAAACAGACCAATTCTCTGTCCTTGTGGTGCTCATAAGTATTCTAGGACTTACTATATATATATATATATATATATATATATATATATATTTATTTATTTATTTATAATATATATATTATATATATATATACACACACACATACACATACATATGACAGTGATAAGTTCTAGGGAAGAAAATAATCAGGTGAAGGGCAATAAATGGTGCCAGAGGGTCTTGGGGGCCATACTAGGTGGGCACTTCCTAGGGCCTTGGCTTTTACTCTAAGAGAGATGAAGAGCCACTGCAAAGTTCTAAGCAGATGGGAAATACAATCTTTCTTAAGTTTTATAATGATCATGCCAGATACTATGTTACAATAATTTTTAGCACAGCAAGGATAGAAGCAGGGAAGTTACTGCAATAATCCAGGCGAAAGAAGATGCTGGCTTAGATCAGAGCAGTAATAGTAGAGGTGGTGAGAACTGGTCAAATTCCAGATATATTTTGAAGGTACAACCAGTAGGATTTACTGATGGATTTGAAACAAAGTACGTAAAACAGAGAAGAGTTAGTGAAGACTCCAAGTTTTGACCTGAGCAACTGGAAAAATGGACATGTCATTTAACAAGATAAAAAAAGAGGTAATGGAGTGAGACCCTGTCTCAAAAAAAAAAAAAAAAAAAAAAAAAAGAGGGCAGGCAGGGGGGATGCAGAAAGAACTTTTCGGGATGGGCCTAGGGAAGCAGGAAGCAGAGGGAAGGATGCAAATCCTTTAAGAGTTCAGTTTTGAGCTGGGCATGGGGCTCACATCTGGAATCCCAACACTTTGGAAGGCCAAGGCGGGGGGAAATCACATGAGGCCAGGAGTTTGAGACCAGCCTGGGCAACGTAGTGAGTGGCAAGACTCTCTCTCTACAAAAAATTTTTAAAAAGTTAGCTGGGCCTGGTGATGCACACACCTGTAGTCCCAGCTACTTGGGAGGCTGAGGTGGGAGGATCACCTGAACCCAAGAGTTCAAGGCTGCAGTGATTGATGATTGTGCCACTGTACTCCAGCCTGGGTGACAGAGCAAGACCCTATATTTCTTTAAAAATAAAAAATTCCATTTTGGACCTCGTAGGCTGGGGGTGGCTACCAGCCATCTGAGAAATCCTCTGGAGAGCACTTCAATATACAAATGGCCTCAGCTCCCACTCAGACAGATTCTGATAGCTGCTGCTTTTAGAAGAACATGATCCTTTTACTGAGATCAGGCCCTTTATGATGTTAAAGAAACTTGTCTTATCATTCAGGCATCTGAGGGTAGCAAAGCTATGAGCTGTAGTAATTTTTTAGTTTTTGGTAGAAATGATTATGTGACAGCCAAGCTCCTAAACATAAACTAGTATTTGTCTTTCATTGAAGATTTAGTGAAATTGGTGAAATTCCATGAGCTATAATTATAATGGCCTCCAAGTTCTGCCTCTATCCAAATTCTTTCATTCCTGCTATAACATCTTCCACATGTCCTCAACTTCTATATACTCACAGAATGATTATTCTCACAGCTGCACTGTTTTCAGCCACATGTACTTTCTGAATTTGGATGACATTCTATTTGGAATTTAAACATAAACAGATGCAGTTTGTAAGACATTACTGACAATATGTGCCCAAGGAGTCAGAGGGGGAGCCTTTCAAAAACGTAGACCAAATATGGCAGGGAGTATCTCTCTACCCTTGCTGAGAACTAGCCATATCCATCCAGAAAGTCATATGAAACCATCATAGTTTGCCAAAATTCACGTGGCAACACCAACAAAGTAGCAAGCAGATTATTTTCTTAAAATAGTACTGAGTGTTATTTATCCTTATACTAGGTTAATGTCCAATGAGAAAGTCATTTTTTTATTGGACTTAAACATCATGTAGGCAATATGAAGACAACAGATTCTGACACTATCTGTATCTCAGAAGACTCTAGATTGCTATATGATAATATGCCATTATTAATTCCTTAATAATGAAAAAATACATGTGTTTTATATGCTTTGAGAACTGAAATATTTTTGTTTTACTTATATAAATCCTAATTTTTATATTGAGTCCATAACAGTATACTTGATAAAAACCTATAGCTAAGACCAAGTCGTCACAGACCAATTGAGCTAAAATTTCAAAAGGTTGTATCAAAATAAGATTTTGAAATGAAAAAGCCATTCTTACAAATTTCCACAAGAGGGCAATAAACTCAAACTTAACTCCGTGCTTTAAGGTTCCCACAGTAACAAGATTTTTGCATTAACACCAAACACACCAAGATCAAAACATTGCCTATTAGTCCTTTGACTCCAAACAAATGTGACCTTGCAGGTTCTTTATGGGAAAGATATACGAATCTGATTTTCCCTTATTTATATTATTGAACTGAATTTAATAAATCAAAAATGAAAAAAAAAACAGTACGCACTTGGTAATTTATAAAGGATGAGTCATGGATGACATAATATATCTCATATCTAAACCACTGTAATTGGGACAACATACATTATTCAATATTTCATAACATCCCCCCAAAACATTTCTTCCAGAAAGTAAAGTCAAGATGAGAAGCAATAATTACTAAACAACAAGATGATACAAGGTTATATTTATCCTATGTGCTCATAAAAGTCTAAGAAAGCCTAAAATGGTCATACACAATTCTGACAATGTTCCAAGACACACGATAGGTTTTCTGTTTATTTTTATTTAGTTTTAAATAAAAACATTCTTAAAAGGAGATATAAAATTTACTTAATTAAAATAACCCTGTAATCTCAGCACTTTGGGAGGCTGAGGTGGGCGGATCACGAGGTCAGGAGTTCGAGACCAACCTGGCCAACATGGCAAAACCCCGTCTCTACTGAAAATACAAAAATTAGATGGGCATGCTGGCAGCCACCTGTAATCCCAGCTACTCAGGAGGCTGAGGCACAAGAATGGCTTGAACCTGGGAGGCGGAGGCTGCAGCGAGCTGAGATCATACCACTGCACTTCAGCCTGTGGGACAGAGTGAGACTCTGACAGAAAAGAATGAACAAAAGAAAGAATGAATGAACGAACGAACAAATGAACGAATGAATGAAAGAACAAAAGAAAAGAAAAAGAAAAGAGAAGAGAAAAGAAAAAAAAGAAAAGAAAAGAAAAAAGAAAAGTGGGCATGGTGGCTCATGCCTGGGATTACAGGGGTGAGCCACCGTGCCCGGCCTAAAAGTTATTTTTCAATCCTTCTTTACAAGACTATAGTAGGATTAGTAACAGGTATCATTCTTAGGTTCTCAGGTCCATTTATAGCCCTTAGAAGGCACAAATATCTTCTCTCTGATTCTCACAACATTGAGTCCATTTGGAAAACCAGAAGGCAGACTGGAACGAGTACTGAGAAAGATGCTGACACTAGGACTTTGGATTGAGATTTTAAGAGAGAGAAAAGGGGAAAAAAAACACTTCATTTTTTACCCCCAATATACACTTGCTGTCACAAATGTGAACAGGTCTCACTGTACTATTCCTAGGTGACAGATGTGCTTGTCTTGAGCTCAGATGTAACAATTTTACTGCTGAAAAGGACTTCAATGTTTCTTTTTCCTAATAAGAAAACAGAGACTGTCTGATATTAAGCATGGATTCCATGTTTGTAAAAACCTCTTTCTTCAAATAATGTATTTAAAGTAAATAAATGTACACCTTTATTCACAGTAGTCTTTTAGCACAAACAAGGAAATGGAAGTCTTCCATGCTCTCAGACACATGGCCTCCTGTCTCTGGTTATTTAACTTACACTTATATTCTTTCCTTTCTGCCTAATATGCTTATTCCCAGATCCTGACCAGAGGTGTCACTCAGGCAGACTAGCTAGATTTTCTGGCCGTGTCCATTAGCTCTCTTTCCTAGATTTAAGATCTGTCAGTGTAACCCTCTCCCTTGGATAGGCTATTCCAACCTATTGCACTCCACTGTCTTCAGGTGGCATGTTTCCAGAGCCCTTAGGTGCCACCTGTTCTTCGGTGACAATGCTTAGCTTGCATTTTTCCCAGTTTTGTTTTTTTTTTTTTCCTCTCTCTCTCTCAAAAAAAAAGCAAATATACCTATCATGTTCCACATCAGGAAATGGGCTAGATTTGGCCTCCTCATGAGACTGTGAGCTCCCAGGACTTGTGTTTCAATCGCCTTAATATTCCTAGGGCTGGCACACAGGAGACACCCAGTAACTGCTTGTTAGATGAAAAGCCACATCTCTAAGATGGTAACAAAAAGGAATTATTTTAAAGTTTCTCAACGAAAATTTAACAAAATTAAAGTGCTGGATTGTTCTGTGCCAAAAAGTAAAACAAACAAGAAGGAAATGAAACGATTTAGTTAAAAGAGAATGCTGAGGAATGACACGGTAGCTTTATAAGGGGTTACAAAACAAGTAAGAAACAACCACCTGTGCATTATCATTATCGACAGGATGGAGGAAGTGGATGTATTCCCATGTTAAACATCAGCAAACATTATTTGATAGAGAAGGTTATGAGAAAGGAAGCAAGGCCTTGAGGAAGGATGAACTTTGTTCCTCGGAGATCTCTGAGAAACGACAGACCCTCCCACAGATTTGCTATGAATTAGGTGGGATTCAGGCTGAAAAAAAGGGGCAAAGACATATGAGCTCTTGAGATCACTAGCAGCCTTTTCTCTTTGTGTAAGGAGTCAGGCGTTTCCATTTACTGAAACTGCTATTATTTGACAAAAATATAAAAACTAATATAAAGAAGGAGTAGGGAAGAATATCAAGGGGCTAAACATCCACAGAAACAGACACCAAAGTTAACCCAAATCACTCCTGTCTGAATTTGGATGAAACTAGAAAAATGCTTCAAATATCATTTTAAGGTATCATTGTGAAATTCAAAAGCCTCTGTTTTCTGCAGCTCTAATTTTATTTAATTTTTTTGAGATGGAGTCTAGCATCTCCTTAAAGTATGCTTATCTTTTTTCTTGACAATATATATTTTTTCTTTCTTTTGCAAAATGTAGGACTTTTCTTTCTTTCTTTCTTTCTTTCTTTATTTTTTTTGAATCAGAGTCTCGCTCTATCCCACAGGCTGGAGTGCAGTGGCATGGTCTTGGCTCACTGCAACCTTCACCTCGCAGGTTCAAGTGATTCTCCTGCCTCAGCCTCCCGAGTAGCTGGGATTACAGGTACCTGCCACCATGCCCGGCTAATTTTTGTATTTTTAGTAGAGACAGGGTTTCACCATGTTGGCTGGGCTGGTCTCGAACTCCTGACCTCAGGTGATCTGCCTGCCTAGACCCCCCCAAAGTGCTGGGATTATAGGCATGAGCCACCACGCCCGACCATTTGCAACCCTAATTTAAAAATCTGCTTGGTTTATAAAATACAAAAGAGAAAAAAAAAATCAGATCCATCACCAATTTAAAGTCATTTCTTGACACAAAATAGGGATATCTACTATAGTGCATTCATAATAAAGAAAATAAATTATTGAAAAAACAAACAGTAAAAATAACTTTTTGAACACTTACTGAAGTCCGTGGCATGTTGACAATGCAACAAATGAGTCAGGGTTTCCTCGGATATGGCCCTGGTAGTAACAGTGCTCTCCTCCCTGAAAACAGAAATAAAGAATGTAAGTCTTTGCATCACAAGGAGAATCAGCTGCTTCATTTCACAGGAGGTTTCTACTCACAATGCACCTCCACATCTAGAACTCTGCATGATATTTCATTATTCAGATTAGCATTATCAAATCTTTTCTAACAGAATTATTCATAAACACTCTGAGTGAGCTGACTCTAAATCAAAATTCAGGGAAATAAAAGTTGACTTGACCTTTCTTTTATGTAGGTGATATTAGAGGAACAAAGAAAGAGATATTGAAATACACATGGGGAGTCAGGCACAGTGTCTCATGTCTACAATTTCAATGCTTTCAGAGGCGAGGCAGGAGCATCACTTAAGGCCAGAAGTTCAAGACCAGCCTAAGCAACATAGCAAGACCCTGTCTCTACAAAAAAAAAAAAAATTGAAATTAGCTGGATGTGGTGGCATGCACCTGTATTCCTAGCCTCTTGGGAGGTTAAGGCAGGAGGATCATTTGAACCCAGGAGTTTGAGGCTGCAGTGAGCTGTGATTGTGCTACTGCACTCCAGCCTGGACAAAAAGAGTGAAATTCTGTCTCAAAAGAAAAAATGACAAAAAAAGAAAAGAAAGGAAATACATATGTGACCCTTGCACCAAAGTTTAATCATCTGCTTTCCTAGTTATAAGAAATTCAACCATGGGCCAGGTGCAGTGGCTCATGCCTCTAATCCCAGCACTTTGGGAGACTGAGGTGGGTGGATCCCTTGAGGTCAGGAGTTCCAAACCAGCCCAGCCAATATGGTGAAACCCTGTCTCTTCTAAAAATACAAAATTAGCTGGATGTGGTAGTGCATGCCTGTAATCCCAGTTACTCGGGAGGCTGAGGCAGGAGAATCGCTTGAACCAGGGAAGTGGAGGTCGCAGTGAGCTGAGATGGCACCACTGTACTCCAGCCTGGGCGATAGAGACCCTGTCTCAAAAAAAAAAAAAAAAAAAAAAAAAGAAATTCAATCATGAGCAGCAGCAAAGCAATACTCTTTTACATAAAACTAAGTAAAAATGAATATAAATCATTTGAGAGTCACTAAATTATATTGATGGAGGAAATGCTTGTTTTTACAGTGTTTATATTGATTACCAGATAAACAGGTTCATACTATTCTTTTCTGAAACCAGCAATGGCTTTAACTGGTAAGCAGTTTATGGGCGGGGTTTTAAATTGTGAAGTTTTTCTTAGCATCCAATTGCATTAATAAAATTCTACTAAGAGAGATTCATTTATTTGGATTCAATGTGCCTGGAAAGGTAAGAAGGTAAATCTTCTGCCATCTTAGGATGTCACCTTTAAATACTTACTACTCAGAGTGCAGTTCAGAGACAAGCAGCATTGACATCACTAGGAGGTTGTTAAAAATGCAGAATCTCAGGCCCCACCCCCAACCTACTGTAGAGAATCTGTATTTTAACAAGTCCCTAGATGATTCATATGCACATTAAAGTTCGAGAAGCTCTTCTCTAAATGACCTCTTTCCATCCTGTCACCAATCTTCTATTTCTTCAGTAGCTGAAAGCTTCTAATTAAATTGACTCACTGAGATACGAAAGAGTGAAACAGAAAGGACCGATAGGATGGGTGGTTTAAAGGCGCAAATGTTACCTACTTCACAGTATGACTTAAGGACTGACACTACTTAAAATGTTCAGTGTTTCACAAATGGAGGAGAGAGAACAGGATGACATGGAGATGTAACAGACTGAAGACATTTTCTTCACCGAAATTCCAAGGAAACCAGCCTAGCCTGAGACTACTGCTCCTTGTGAGATAATCCCACAGAAGCTGGTAACTCTCAGCTTTGGGGAGGGGGTGGAGAGCAGGTAAAATGGTACACAATGCAATCCTGGACCTTAAACCACCTCCAAATTCCCAGGGGAGCCACTGATCATCATGAACTGAGGGTTGCGGTTGCATTTAATGGAGAAGATAGGGTGGTACTTCACATCTGGGTTGTACAGGGAATGGAACCCAGAAGGCCACAGAGTCTTGGGGGCTGAAACAAGTCCTAGACACTAGAACATGGGGCACTGACTTCATGTGGAGCACCAGTGTAGTGTAGATGTTAACAATGTGAGCTATTGGCGCCTTCCCTTACCAGCTGTGTAATCTTAAACAAATTACAGAGACTGCCCGTGCCTCCATTTTCTCATCTGTCAATTGGAGATAATTATCTCATAGGGCTGTTATGAGGATTACATGAGCTAATAGACATAAAGAGTTTAGAGTAATGCTTGGCTCATAGGAAGTACTCAACAAGTGTTTGCTGCTATTATAATTACTGTGTCTGTTACTGTTCTACTCAATTTACATACACAATCACACTAAATCTTCATATCAATCCTACAAAGAAATATTCTTATCCCTCTTCTACATAGGAACCACAATCTCTGAGATTATGGTTGTCTACCTGGGGAGTTGCCAAGTAGGGATGAAAACTTTATGTGGATACAAGGCCTGTGTCCTATCCCCAATGTTGAACCTCGAACCTGTGAGTTATGCAAGGCAAATCTAAACTTTCCCCTAGGCTGGTTTATTCTTTTATTCTGTTGTGTTGTATTCTACTTTGTCATCAGGGCTAAGAGTAAATTTAACAAAAGTTACAATAATGTGTGTTGGGCTGTTGGACTGGTGAACAGTCCACAGATCAGATTCTGAGTGTATGAGAGGATGTTATCACTTAGATGCCCGTGATTTCCTGGATACATCGGATTGGATCAGAGATCAAAGTTCTAGCTTTGTGTTGGCCAGGCATAAAAGGTCAACAGTCAACAGATGACCTGATAAAGACAGAACTCTGTCTATAAGTGTTTCCTTATATTGGACAGTGACTAACCGAATCAGACCTTCTTCTCTTAGAAGTCTGAGCCTCATAGTGAACAGTAACACATGAAGATAGTAGAAACAAAGATAAATAAAGAGAAGTAGAAACAAAAAAAATTCTCGAGAATTATGGTATCAGACTAGAAAACAATGGAAATTGATAGTCATGAGAATACATGTCAATGTCAAAGCATACTATTTTATAAATTACTACAGTTTTCTTCAAAAACGCAACTCTGGAAACATGTTATATTAAATCATAAAAAGGACAAATAATTCATTTTTTAAAAGCATTCCTCCATTATATTGGGGAGAGTTATATAGATGATTCAATAATGGAAAACAATATTTCACTAATCTCTGATTTGAAAAAAATAGGAGTCAAGCCAAAAATAGCAGATGATCAGGATGCATCTGCACAAAAGCCTAACGTGGCAAATGAAGCAAAGAGCTCAATATGGTTGAATCATTATTAAATGTTTCCATGACACTTCAGCAGAGGCATAAACACCAGGGGAAAAAAAAAATCTCAATTTGCATTACTACAATTCAAATCTTGAGGTCTCAACTGGTGGTATATGTAATTATTAGCAATAATGGTGAAAGTTCATTTTTGTGCTGTAATATTTTTCAGGGACTATTAATCATAAGTCAATAATTATTTAAACTAAGAAGTAATGAAGCTTTTATTTCCTTTAACATGCCTAGAAATGTTTTTTAGTCCAAGAGTTAGGCTGTTAAAGGGCTTTCTTAATTTATATAAACTATATTATTAAATATAAATTTAATATTTTATTTTGTAAATAATTATTTTATGTGTTATTTTAAAATAATACACATGTGGTGCAAAAATTCTAAGAATTGAAAGGGTACATAGTGAAGAATAAAAATACTCCCTTCACATATACTATTCAAGCTGTAGATGCCTTCTAAATGGTAAGCATTTTTGACACATTTTGTGTACCATGCCAAGAATAGTCTATGTACATTCAAGTAGATGCATACATACACACATACACATATATCCATATATCCTTTTCACTTCACAAATAGTTTTATACTGTGTACACTGTTCAGCCACTTGACTTTCTTTTTCTTAAGGTAAGCTTGGCATCCTTCTACATCAATACAGTATTTTTTCCAATGATGGCATACTATTCCATTACGGGGGTGAACCAGAATTCATTTAAACAGTCCTGTACTAATGGACATTTAGATAATCTCCTTTTTTGCTGTCATAATGTTGCAACAAACATCCTTTCATATATTCCTGCGCACTTCTATCAGTATATATGCAGGATAGAGTACTAGACATGGACCTGGGAGGTCAAAGAATAGGTGTATTTTAAATTTTAATAACTAATGGGACAGATATAATTGTATTTTTTGCACTTACATGTTTTAGAATATACACTGCATTTGAAAATCATAAACTGCATTTTACTTAAAAATTATCTATTTCAGTAAAGACCACTAACAAACCAACTTTCTCAAATCTTATCAATTATAAAGGTTCTCCATGTCTTCATATGACTTTTGAAGAAAAGTCAAAAGTATGCTATATGGAAGTAAGTATTATATACAATAATCTGAGACAGATGTTGCAGGAAAAGAGAAAAGCCTTTTGGGCTTTTCCTATCAGAGTTGGGCTCTTTATCAGACAGCCAGTCATAGCTTTATTCCTTATTGTCTCTTTTGTTCCAGAAATAAATCCATTGTCCTTGAAACTTTCTTCATACTCCTTGATCTAATAACATAGCCATAAAAGTACAAACGTTTATTTTTAGCTACATAGTTATAGCTAAAAAAAATCTACCTCTATAAAAATGAAGACGATAGTTTATATGTCTATTATTGGTTTATCTTCCTAATGGGAGAAAAATTTATTGTAATTTTTTATTCTAGGAACATCAAAATAATCATTTATTTATAAAATTCAAAGACATACCACATTTTTATTAAACAGATAGCAAAATCTCAAAGGAAAAATAGAATTTATTATAAATATGACAAGATGATAACACAAAGGAAGTTACACAGCCTGGGCCATAAAATGAGGAAAACCTAATAAAGAGAAACAATTGGAGCACAGCTGTAAAGCCATAGTCACATGCCCTCTATCAAGCTCCTCAAAGGAAACTAGACTTTGACAGCTCTAAAATGGGCCAGAACCACCTCCTCCAAATAGCCTTCTCAAATTCCCTTCTCATAAATGACTTCCTGCTAACCCCTCCTTCTCTGAATTTTCATAGTATTTTTCAACCATACTGCAACCTCTTCCTACCTGAATGCCTGTTTCTGTCTTACTTCTCCAATAGGCTATTGTCTCCTTTCAGAGAAGCACATTTGCCTGATTTATGTTTATATACCCACACGTGCTACTGGAGAGAAAACCTCCCTGAATATCCAATTCCTCACCAATTAACTAGAGATAACATCTACTCCAGCTGTTTCATAAGGATATGCAGGAGATTCCATGAGATAACAATGTAAAGTACACTGTAAAGTGCTATATAAACAGGTGAGGGAGGTGTAGTCAGGCAATATTCAGGGATGCTATAATGTCCCTTGAGCTGTGATTCTCAAACTTTGTTAAGAATAACAATTCAAGACATCAATTTATAATGCAGATACTGTCTCTTGCCCAGAGAGTTTGTGCAGGCAGCTCTGAGGTAAGACCTAAGAATCTGCATTGTAACAAATACTCCGTGTTTTTCTTGTTCCAGGAATACCCTAGAGGGGAGGTTCTCAACCTTGGTTGCACTTCAGAATCACCCGGGAGCTTTTAAATTCCAATGCCCATGACTTACTCCCAACCATCTAAATCACAATCTCTGGGGTCCAGGCATCAGCATCTTTTAAAATCCTCCAAATGACTGAATACAAATTCAGTGCTTGAGAACCCTTGTACAAGAGAAATGCTCCTCAAAATAGCAGTTCCCAGAACTGACTCTCAGAAGTACCATGGTAGGCTTTCTAAACCAACTGATGCCCGGGCCTTCCCTCAGGCCTGCTGAATCAGAATCTCCAAGGAGGTAGGGCCCCAGGTTTCTTATAGTTGTAAAAAGTTCCTCTACATGATTTTGATGATCAAATCTGGAATTGTTAACTCTAAAAATATTCAATACCAAACTGTCCCCATGCAAAGGATACAGAAAGATCTTTCAGAGAATGGAAGTATCTACCATATCCTGGACATCCTTTTTAGTGAATTATGTGATAGTTCATGATGACTGATGAGGTGAGTATTATTTCCCCCCTTTTACAAGTGAGAAACCATAGACTGAGAGAGATCATCCACACCCAGGTATGCCTGCTACAAAGTCAAGGTTATTTACACCAGTGGTTCTCAAAGAGTGGTTTGCAGACCAAAAGCATCAGCTTGTTAGAAATGCAAATTTCTCAAGCCTCCCTATAGACTTCCTCAGAAGCTCGGAGGATGCAGCCTACCCACCTGTGATTCAGCCAAACCTTCAGGTGATTTTACTGCATTCTAAAGTTTGAGAACAACTGCTTTACACTACTCCTGTTTCTGATTCTGAAGCTCCTCACTGCTAAGCTCACTGAAATCTTACACTAGTTCCTGAGCTGACCCTTCCTGATACAGAATGTAGTACTCCACTCTGTTTCTTGTTTCCCAAAAAAGAGTTGGCTTTATCAGAAACATAATGGAAGGTAAAAGGTGAGATAAGAATATCAAGGAAGGGCAGAGCTGTATTTTTGTTGGTGCTGGTCATAGGATATCATGCAGGATGCTTTGGCCTGGATCAAAGGGGCTAGAATAACCAAACTTCCAGTTTGCCTGGGACAAAGGGGTTTCCCAGGATACTGGTATTTCAGTGCTACATCTATGAAAGTCACAGGCAGATAGGAATGGTTTGGTCATGCTAAAAGGGTCAGGGCCAGTGTAGGCACCTCCAGATCCAAACACCCGCCCCTGCAACTCTTGTTCTCCTGCTCTGTTCACTGAATCATAGCCTTCTCCCCCTCCATGGGCACTGGTCCTAGAACCAGCCTTCTGCCATGCAGTTTGGGAAGCTCATGCCAGTCACCCTCTTCCACAAGTGGGACCCTTTCTCACCCCACCCTAGCACAGTAGTTGCCAACCTGGCAGCATATTGTAACACATGGGAAGCTCTTTTAAAAAATTCACAGCCTCACCCCATACCAACTGCGCCAGAATCTCTAGAGGGTGGGACCTGGGTATTTTAAAAATCTGCCCAGATGATTCCAATATGCTACCATAGTTGGGAACCTCTGCTCTAGCTGATACCACCTTGCAGGAACTAACGGCCTGTCCTTGAACCCTACTGCATCCTAGATTCCCCCCAAGGGTATACACTGTCCTGACACATTGGTGGCTGCATGGCTGCAGTCTGTTCCACCAGGTGCTTTCCTACCAAAACCACATTTCTTGCCTGGTCTCAACTCCCTCTCGACTGGCATCAACATCAGGAACCTGCCCTCCTCCAATCTTTACTCCACCTTCCCAGTTGTAAGTCTCCTTGGGAGGCTGGGCATGGTGGCTTACACCTGTAATCCCACCACTTTAGAAGGCCAAGGAGGGAGATCACTTGAGGCCAGGAGTTCAAGACAAGTCTGAGCAACATAGTGAGACCGCATCTCTAATACAAATTAAAATAAGAAAATAAACAAATAACAAAGTAAGTCTCCTTAGGGCCAGCTGCATAATGGAAATTCTTAAAAAAGCTAAATTTTATGTTAAAGATGATCCACCAACCTATCCCGATTAAAACTCATAACCTGTGACTGTACAGAATCAGACTGGATTCACAAAAAGGACATAGGCTAAATATCTGGTCAGGTACAGAGTATAATTGATTCTAAAAGTATCTGATTCTAAAGGCTAAGAAAAGTGAAAAGATTATTTCCTCTCATTTACAGTAAATTAAAATTAAGTGAGGCTATCACATGGTTCCCAAATGCCAATAATCCATGAATCTATACTAATGCATCTCAAAATCTTTATCAGTTCCTGTCAAAAAAATAAAAATAAGTACAGTGTACTTAATTTTTCATAAAGCTAAATGTATTTAATTTTTGAAAAACTGTCATTTGTTCTATGTTTACTTCCTTACCTTTATTATTTAAAATATCAACTGTTTTCCTTTTTTAAATAGACTTATTTTGGAATAATTCTGATACACAGAAAAGTTGCAAAGATGGTATAGAGAAGTATAGTATATCACCCAGGTTTTCCCATTGTTAATATCTTATATTTCTTTAGTATATTTGTCAAAACCAAGTAACTGACATTGGTATATTACCATTTACTAGACTCTGAACATTTAGACTTCACCAGTTTTTCCTTTAATTTTTTCTTTCCATTCCAGGATCCAATCCATAGTGCCATATTGCATTAGTGGTTAGGTTCATTTTTTTAAAATTGGTAGCAATAGTAATAGTATTTAGATGTTTTGAGAGGGTTGTTTTCATATATGGCAAAATAGAAGAAATGGCAACCCTATGTTGATCCTCAAAATTCATTTTGTTAGTATATGGATCTATGAAATATAAAAGTATAAGACCAAGAATACAAATGAATACTTCCTAGACTTTAACTTAGCACTATAGGTTTTCAAAAGCCTTAAAAATACAACTACCCTACATCATCAGGCTTAATTTAAATGATTAAAATGTAATATTTAATGTTACATATGGAAATGAATTCTGAAAGATTACTCAGTAATATTTCACTATAATAAGTATCTAGAACCCCTTAATGTCTGAGATTCTTCTGGACTATCCTTTCAATGATGTTTGCATAGGGAACAGCTTTGGAAGATGGAGACAATCTCCCTTCAAAGCAAAGGGCAGGCATGTTTACTTCCCACTATAAAGGATTCAGGTTTCCTAAATTCGGAATTTCTTTGTTGTAACACAATGCACTGTGTGCTCAGGTTAGCCGGCCCTTTCCTCTGTTACCCTCTGGGAATTAAGGCTCAAGATACCAGGGTAAGAAAATGTTGCTATTCTGGCTATTGCCAATGCCAGAGTAATGAAGTCCTTCGTCTCTGACCCAGGAGTTTCCTGTCTTCTGCCGGCATAGATAAAACTGCAGCAAGCTAATGCCTATTAACTTGTAAGTAGGATAAAATTTCAGACTTTCAGAGTTGTTGAACTTGGATTTTCCATCTTCCCCTAAAAATTAAGAGATCTGTTAAGAGTAAGACTCCATTACCACTTTTCCATTTTCCTGCAAGACAAAAATCAGCTAAAGCTAAATAAGGCACATACTGCCCATCTTATCACAGGTAACTTAACTCTCATATACACTACTGGTTAACACCTTTGGGTATTAATATTTGCCACTCCATTCCAGGGTACAAATGTTCAAACAGCATCTAACAACATAGTCATTAAAAATCTCTGTACTATTTCAACATTCATTGGTGAGCACTAGGATCTTGTAGTATCAATCAAAAACATTTTAAAAACCAAAAGGATTAGGCATATTATGGACTTAAAAAATTAAAAGGAAATAAAACGAGCCGATGAAAAAGAATAATTTCATTTAAAAGATACATGATTACCACCGGAGAGGAAAAGATGTGTAAGAATATTATTGTAGCAAAAGTTTCCACAAGAAAGGAAAAGAAAGACAGTAGAAAACCACTGGATAGGAATAAAAGTGATGAGGAAGGAGTTAATCTTATTAAAAGATGGTGAACACCATAAAATATAGGGGCCATAACTTTCTGTGTTTGTCTCTGTGTCTCTATGTCTATACCTTTCTCTGGTAAGGACACCAACCATCGGATTAGGGCGCACCCTAATCTAGCATGACTTCCTCTTAACTTGATTACAACTGAAAAGATTCTGTTTCTAAATAAGGTCATACTCATGGGTTCTAGGAGTCGTGAATTTTGGGGAACACTATTCAAACCAGTAAAATAATTCATCTCTTTATACATAGCCAAGTAAATTTTTATTCACAATCCAGGGATTTTCCTTTTAAGAAGCTTGGTTCAGTGGTAGAAACTGGAGGTGTCTACCATGGCATCACTCATCTAATAAAATTAACCTGTATCTTAATTACCTATAACCAGCATTCTAGTTTCCTATCTCTTTATTTTAAAATACTCATCATTATTTTTACACAATATGGCAAACTTAATATTCCATTTTACTAAGTCAAACACAGCTTCCTAAATTGCTTATTTGTAACAGAATAGTCGAGAGAAATTAATATGCAGCTGTCAAGTAATCATTAGACACCCACTAATATAACAAATATCAGACTACTAAAAATTTTAGGTTCCCACAAAATGCTCAGCAACAGATTACTGTAATGCAGAGAGGGGGCTTATCAGATTCTCTGAGATGTAGTTCTAAATTGGGAGAATGGAAAATCAATGTGGACCACATAATATATAATTACTATATAATTACAAACTCATGAAATTATAACTCTTTCCAGGAAACCACTATATCATTGTACCTTTTTATGAATAATAAAATTTAAATGCATTACTCTATATGGACTTTTTAGCATAAAGACTGTGAATTACCTAAAACCTTATTCTGTAGTTGATGTTTGACTAGTAACAGGAAAAAACATAACTGACTAGATGATTGTTGCACAAAGAGAAAACATATTTGTGCATTCCTAAAATACAGGAGGAATTTTCTTTTGTCATATCTGAAAAAGATGTTTGTTGTTGTTTTCTTTTTTTTTTTTTTTAAGGAAACACAACTATATGAGGGTCTAAGGTAAGGAAAAAAAGGAAATCGTTTTTTCTCCACTTTTACCATAAACATAACCTCCTTTAGTTTCACTTCAATTCTATCCTCCATTCCTTTTTTGAAGAAGGAAGGATAAAGAGAAAATTTCTGGCCGCTAAAAGATTCTGTTGCAGCCAGGCACAGAGGCTCATGCCTGTAATCCTAGAACTTTGGGAGACTGAGGCGGGTGGGTCGCTTGAAGTCAGGTGTTTGAGACCTGGCTAACATGGTGAAACCCTGTCTCTACTAAAAATACAAAAATTAGCCGGGCATAATGGCGCACACCTGTAATTCCAGCTACTGGGGAGGCTGAGGCACAAGAATCGCTTGAACGTGGGAGGTGGAGGTTGCAGTGAGCCGAGATGGTGCCACTGTACTCCAGCCTGGGTGACAGAGTGAGACTCTGTCTCAAAAAAAAAAAAAAAAAAGAAAAGAAAAAAAGATTCTGGTTGCAGCACGTCCAAGAGAGCATGTAAGGCTCTCTTGCACCTTGAGCCTTACATGCTAAGCTCAAGCAGTTAATACTAGCATTCAGTGGTCATTTTTATCTCTGCATAAATGATTTTGGATTAGCCCAGGATTTATTAACAGGTAAAAAGAGTCAGATTACTAAAGAGGTCTCAAACAATATCCTTCATGGAAAGCAAATTAATATTTAAGGTTGTATCTAATGAAAAGTGATGCTAAGCATGAAAAAGTAAAGTGCTTTTTTTCCCAGCAAGTGTTTCTATGAGAATAAGCTGATCATTCACTATTTCTGTTACTTATGTTTCCATAAATCAAGAAGGGAGTTGAACCACCAGAGTCCCTTCTTGTTCCATGATTTGCAAACTGTTTTAAAAAATCACAGGTTACTTTTCTTTTAAATACAAGGCCAACTTCCAAAGAATCAATATCTTGTACACTGCACTTACCACAAAGGAATAGAATTTAAAACCAACAACAAAGATGTTCATATGTTTGGAAATTTTTAAAATACCAAATATACAATTTTTTAAAATATTATATTATTTCTAAAAATATAAATAATTTATGAGTCATATAAAGTCATAGTATAAGTTATGGAATATATATATATGTGTGTGTGGACAACAGCAAAAAAAAACTATGTAGCAGAGCTTTAGGATGCTGCTAAAATGGTACTTGAGTAAATTTTAAATTCTTAGATGCATATAGAAAAGAAGATTGGTAATTAACAAATTAAATATTTAACTAAATGAATTATGAAAAGAAAAGCAGAAATTTCAGAGCAGAAAAAAGGAAATTACAAAAGTAAGAGCAGAAATTATTGAAAAATATATTTTGGTAAAGAAAGTAAAGCTGGTTCTTTGGGGGAAAAAAAAAAAAAAGTATTTTCAGCCAGGCACAATGACTCATGCCTGTAATCCCAGCACTTTGGGACGCTGAGGCGAGAGGATTGCTTGAGGTCAGGAGTTCGAGACCAGTCTGGGAAACATAGTGAGACCTGGTCTCTACTAAAAGTAAAAATTAAAAAATTAGTGTGGCAGCACATGCCTATAGTCCCAGCTACTCAGGAGACTGAGGGAGAAGTACTGCTAGGAGTTCGAGTTTACAGTGAGCTATGATCGCACCACTGCACTCCAGCCTGAGCAACAGAGTGAGACCCTGTCTTTAAAAAAAGGGGGGGTGGGGGGCGGGTGGGGAGAGAGTATTTACAAAAAATTCTAACAAGATTGATCAAGTAAAAGAGTCAAGGCAAGAATAAAAATAAAAACTAACAGGAGACATGCTGATACACAATTAGTAGATTTTAAAACCATGAAAAGATTTAAAAGCTAATATAGCAAAACACTGAACTATGTTAAATCTACACGTGGATGTCTGTTGAGGTATTTTATACAATTTTTAACATGTTTAAAACATTTCACGATTATAGAGATTTTTATCGCAGGCCAATTGTTGATATTTGGTGACTTAAAATTTAAAACTGATCAGACGTGGCTCTAAAATACCTTAGAAAGAAAACGCATGAATGTGAGCCTCTGTGTGGAGGATGCGCTTACCATCAGGCAAGCCGATTATAAGGCTATCAGTTTTTATTTTTCCTGTTTATATTCACTGCATATTTTGATAGCAGGGGGAATAATATGCGTTCCCAGACCTGTCCAGGCTGTACTTTCCCCTACACATCTGACATACTGTTGGGTGAACAGGAGAAACCACTCAATTTTCTAATACCTGGATTAATTCTTTCACTTATTTTTTTCATTCAGCAGATACTTATTGTCTTCTATGAACAAATATTATGCTAAATGCTGAGAATATAGTACAAGTTCCCGTGGGTGCTTCTCTTGGAGGAACTTCTTATGGAATTTACAGTCTAGAGGCACAGAAAATTGTCTTATAAAGCAGGAAGTAAAGAACTGCCGCTGGTGATCCTGACATGCTTCCTGTCATGAGTGGAATCAGAAACTAGCAGTAAGAATGGGTAGAAGCCACCAAAGACTTTGCCAGAAATTCTGTACAAATTGCCACTTTACCTCAATAATGATATCAGAACTAATATTTATGGAGTATTTCCCACACCCAAAGCTCTGAGCTACATGTTTGTCTTGTTTAACAGAGGAGGAAAATGAAGTATAGGAGGCATAAGTAAATTGTCTAAGGACGTACGTATATTAACTGGCAAAGTCAGGATTTGAGTTTAGGTCCTTCTAGCCCTCACAATATTCATGGTCTCTAAGCTTTACTGTCCTCAAACCACAGATATGTCCTGGAGTTAAAAATAACAACCAAAAAATGGGTACCATTTGTTAACACAATTCAAGAAGTTTATTTTTTTTATTTAATCAGAAAGACAGCAGGACTTCAAGAAAATAGCATTTACTCTGTCCAAAAATCTAATTGCTATGTGGAATACCTATTAACCCCACTCAGAATTACCAAAGCAACCACTCTGCCATCCACAGAGTTAGAAAATAATTTCCAGATTTTCAAGAGAAGAGAAAACGAAGGCAAAAAGTGACCAATGTAGGAAGTCCAAAAACACTGTTAGTCTGATTTCCTTTACATTGTACCTGATTCTTCTGAGTTGAGGCTCTGGTCAAATACCATCCTCCTACTTTCATCCCTTTTCTTCCTGTGCACTTGCTCCACCTCTTATTCTGTCCACCTTCTCTGGTTTCTTTCTGCCCCTTTCACACACCAAGATCCTGCATCAAGGCCTCTGGCCTTTGCACATGCTGATTTGACTACCTGAAAAGTTGTTCTGCTCCCATTTCATTCACCTGTTATTTTTTGAACTTTGGAAATAATATCATTTCCTCAAGAAAGTCTTCCCTGACCAACCAGATGAGGTCAGGTCTCCCAGCAAGTGCCCTCAGAGCAACATGTAATTCTTTTCAACACTTATCATTTCTATCATTTACAAAGAGTTCTCAGTAGTTGCCTGCATCATGCCTGTCTCTCCTACTAAAGGACAAGCTTCATGAGGGCAAGAAATGCATCATCTGTTGTTTATAGCTATATCCCTGTCACTGGCCCCTGGCAAGCACTCAACTCATGTCTATTGAATAAATGAGGGTTGAGAACACACATTGAGTATCTGAGAATTATGGCTTTTTTTCTATTCCACTGTAAATCTCTCATGTCAGCTTTCCAGCCACTTAAACTCCACATGCCTGAGTTTTTATGAGTGGCTATGGGGAAAATCAAGTCCATCTGCTCTTTTTCTACCTCATAGGTGCAAAGAAAATAGTGTTATGATAAAATATCAAATGTGGCCAGATGCAGTGGCTCATGCCTGTAATCTCAACACTTTGGGAGACTGAGGCAGGTAGATCACTTGAATTTGAGACCAGCCTGGGTAACGTGGTGAAACCCCATCTCCACTAAAAATACAAAAATTAGCCGGGCATGATGACATGCACCTGTAGTCCCAGCTACTTTTAGGACTCAGGTGGCAAAATCACTTGAGCCTGGGACTCTGAGTCTGCAGCGAGCCAAGACTGCGCCACTGCACTCCAGCCTGGGAGATAGAGTGAGACCCTGTCTCAAAACAAACAAACAACAACAACAAAAAGAAAGAAAAAAAGAAACAAAACAAAACAAAAAACATCAAATGTAGCACTGATCAATTATCCTCCTTCAAAAAGGCTGTAAACACTCAAACCACTCAATACCAATAGTATATATTCTCTGGTCTTTATTACCTTTTCTGATTTTATAGTGGCCACACCTTATTCACTGGAAACTAAGGTATTTTTATTAATGAATAGGAAAATAATTGTAGCTTATGACAACACCAAGGGAATAATTTGTGATTTTTTTTTTTTGCTTCAAACCAGTTTAAAATCAAAAACAGTATTTCTACTACTTTCTGTTCAATTATAATTACTGTAATAGTTCACTCTAGTTTCAAAAAAATTGCAAGAGTAGATTTGGAAAAGACATTCTATAATGAAAAGGTTAGTTCTATAATTAGAATTAAAATAGTAAATTCTATTATAAAATAGCTAATTAGTTCCATACATGGAAATATCATCAGTTAGTGCTACTTTGATTTTTAAAAAAACTTATGGCTGAATATGTCTTTTAAGTTTATAGATAACATCTTGAACATTAACAGATGAAATAACTCTTTAGATAGTTAACTGGGGGAAAAAAAATCTTATACCAGAAAGAAAATAAAGGACTTTCTACTCAAATAGGTTACAAACAGAGCTTAGGAACAGAACTCATGCTGACAGCAGCTGTCACTTTTCATTTTTCCTTTCTTCCAGCACTAAGACACCTGACCTGTATAAACTGGCAATGGGCCAACATATTTTCCTCAGGATACAGAGTTAAGACCACTTGCAATCTTAACAATGCCATTAAGGCAGTTGATGCATTATACATGATGATGGACCTAGAGCAACCTTGCTTCAGTCCCAAGAGAAAGCAAAATTTACTTAATCCCCCCAAATTTTTTTCCTATAATGCAAAGAGAATTAAATCATGAAATCTGAGACCTTCCTGAAACCACACTGATTACAAGATGGCAGAGGAGCATATGTCTGCATAAGCCTGCCAGGGGGGAAATGCACACATCAATAAGCTCATCCAGAAGATACTAAATGATGCCTAGTGGCAGATAAAAAGTAAAGTTAGGAAACATACCTGGAATAACTGATGTTACATGTAAAGTTAGGAAACATATCTGGAATAACTGATATTACATGTGAGGAGGAAATAAACACTTTATCAGTTTGTTTGTTAGATTTGTATGGCTCTTTTACTCTCTTCCTGCTTGCGGGCTGTGTATGTTGTGGAACGGAGGGTAAAAGAGGTAGGGGGGATGGGTATTTTGAAGCTCTTTGGCAGAGATACAATCAAATATCTTCTAGTCTCTTGGCAGGATAATGGTATGTTTCAGCTTAGTTACTCTTGCCCATAAAACTTCACATTTACTCCAGATGCAGATAAATTTACACATAGGCAAAAGATGGGCATAAACTGAGCCATGTGTTTGCCATGTGCAAGACAGTAACATATTTCAAACTATAATGATTTGAAGCGATGGTGCTCCCCTGTGCTGAACAATACACAATCCAACTTCTATGAAGAACAAAGAAGGACTAAAAATGAACTCCAAAATGAAATAGTTTTTAAAAAAAGCGGGGGGTGGGGGAGTCTTTAGAAGGCATTGGTCTTTGGAATAAAGAAAATTTTATATTGGAATAATTGGGACTCACCTGAACTAACACATCTTCAATTCTGGCCTATTAAAACAACTACTAAAAGAGACGGTGAATTACAAATGGTAAATTGTAGAAGGGCTGTAATTAAAATATTTGCATTCTAATTCCTCTGCTATTATGATCATTTATTTCCATAGGGAGGATAAACTACAGTAGATTATAGCACACATTCTGGTGCCAGACTTCCTTTCTTAAAATTCTTGGGCAAGTTAGTTAAACTTTCTGTGCCTTCATTTCCTCATCTGCAAAATGAGGATAACAGTGGTATTACTTGGGGATAAAATGACTTAACATATGTGAAACACTTAGACTGGCATCTAGCACATAGTAAATACCATACAAGTATTTGCTATTACTCCAACTGCTACCAGTACTTTTATTAATCCTAAATCCAGTTACTAGTATTGATCTCATCTGAATATCATAGGATTGAAAGACATACAGATTGCATAATACAGGAAATCCCTGGTGTTAAAGTGAGCACTTATAGGAATATATAATATTTATTTGTAAAAATACAAGACTTTGACAATGATGTAAAACAGAAATACAACAAGTCATTATATTTTTTAATTCCATTAAGATGAGTGTCATTAACTAAAAAGAATAATCCATCAGTAGCCTTAAGTAAGCAAAATGAGTTTGGATTTGTAAGGAGAAAAGGTTAACTCTTCCAAATGACTAACAGTAAATTACTGGCGGCAGTTATTTGCCCCTAAGACTGAGTTAGGGAGCCTGAGTTAATAGACAGTATATGAAAGCATAATCTTTCTACAGGACAGCAATATACAGTAATTATTAATCAATGAAGCTAGCTCACTATGACTTACATATACTAACCATCAAAACTATAATATTTCCAGATAAACTTTTGTTCAGTATTTAAAATACTTCTGTGAGAATATCACAGTTCTTGAACGAGTAACAGAGAAAATTAATGAGTATTCCTCTGACACAATTCACTATTTAAAAATGAAAGTACTTAAAAATGGGCAACAGCTCAAACCCACAGGAACCAAGGGACACGGTTTCCTGTGTTGGCCCTATCTGCAATTACAGAATCATCTCTAAATCAGAAGATCTTAATATTGTTTCCCATAAGCACCATGAAATTCAATTCAATAATTTCTCATTAAATTACCATATGGTGAACCCTACTTATGGAATCACTTTTAGAAAGTTGAGCTCTTATTCTTGTAGGATCTTTATATCCTGAGGTTTTAAAAAAATCATTTTATTTCAGTAATTAGGGGAGAATGGAGTCATTAAAATATAATAATGTTTAAAGCTAGCCTACCTACAGCTAACAACTAAATATTCATGTATGAAGATGTATTGATAAATATTTTTAAAGTCATTTTAGTTTCATTACTAGTCAAACTGACATTAAGTCGTGGCCAAACTGTTTTTCAGAGAATGGTCTTGAAAATAAATTTTTGCAAGTCACCTAATTTTAAAATCTGTGTATTTGTGGTTAACTTGGTTCTGATTAGCATAGAAAGACACCATGTTCATAGCTATACCATCCAAAATTTCCTCTCCTGTCTGAGAGAACCTATGTGAGGTACCTGCATGCTCATGCCACAACCTGTAACACCTGCACCTGAGGGTTCTCTTTGTTCCACACCAAAAGTTCTGCTCTCAGAGTTTAAGCTTAACAGCAAGAGTCCTTAACCTAAATCTCCCAGCAAGTGCAGCAAGGAAAACATAAAAACAGATTTTAACATACAGGTAGTCACATCTGCCAAACAACCCTATCATTGCTTCATTAATTGTTTGTGATCATTTTAATCAACTGTATTTACACACACACTGTTAAAGAATCTATGTTCCCTAGCAGACAAAATGGAGACCAAAACTCACCTCAGTTTATGCTATGTGAACTATACCTCAATATAGCTGTTCTTTTTAGAAAAAAGAAATTCCAATTACCATGGCAGCAGGAGACCTCCAATGACTGAAGGCCCTCAGTTGACACTCTGCCCATCAGCCGGCCCTTAAAATGCACATCACTGAGCTTGTTTACTTGGAAAGCAGCCTCCCCATCTCCACAGAGCCAAGGAAAATGCCTGAAACTTGGATTTGAAATTTGGTGATAAAATTAAGAGCTTAAGTGACAACTTCTATAAATAGATCTGTTTCAAAAGGAAAAACATCATTTCTAAAGCCATCTTCCTAAATCATGTGACTTAATTACTGTCTAGGTGACTAAGTATTATCCAAGAGCCTTATCCAAGAGTTTCTGGAGAAGCTACTGAAGTGAGAATTCAAGACAGAAAGCATGTTTCTCAAATGCAAGGGAAAGCTGTAAATAAGGAAGGCACTTTGGAAGAGAAATGCTGTTGCTGAGTTGCTCTATTGGAAAAGAAAAATGAAAATGAGAGTAAAGGAAAAAGCCTTAGTATAGATTACTTGGTAACAGTGGCTGTTGCTCACATTTTATCTCAAAGACTGCATCCAAAACAAAAGATAACCTAAAAACCTACTTGAAAAAACACACAAGTCTCTACTTCAGAAGATTCATCATTGATGCAAGGGTATGGATAGCTCTGTACTAATAACGCATGCAGCAAAATTTACTGCACACCAAGGTCTGTTTTTTCTTTTTTTATATATATATTTAATTGCTTACTCTTCTTACTCTTATAGAAAGAGCCAAGATTCTGTATGGTAATGCAGTTTTAAGAATCAATAAGGAAATTTTATATCCAGGGTAAGCAAAAGCAAATTAACCCCTGTGTTCATCTTTTCTGTTGCAATAAATATGAGCCACTTTGACAGTTTAATAGCTACTTGTGTGCTTCCCATGGCCAAAAAAGAAACAATTCAAGCAATTCTTTACTATTCAATTTGCACTGGACTCAGAAAAAAAATCTATGTCCCATAACAGAATATGTTAAGTATAAGTACTGTCATTAAAAAAAAAAGAAATGGAATGCAGTCACTAAACTATAACCTATATCGTATATAAACTGAACTCTGTCACTAATGACAAACTGAGAATATATTTCACTTACAAAAGGAGTCCACGGTGTTATATTGCACATATAATTTTGGATTGTTGTTGTTTTTACAAACAATACATTTTAAAAGATATCTTAAGAAACATTATTTCTCTAACACGTTGTGTACCTTTCGAGTTATTCAAGTATTGAGAAGTATGGTCCTTGCGGGGAAATCTAGAAGAGGTGACATGAGAAATCCTGAATACAATTTGAGATCGCAAGAAATTTTCTATCACTGCTGTTCAAGTTCACAGGAATTATAAAGTTAGCCAGGGAGGCATCTGTTGTCCTGACAGTCACTATATTTAAAATTTTCTAAGTGATTTCTTACAGCTGTCCTCTACTAGTGTTTTTTTTTTTTTCCTGTCATTGACACATTCACTGGGGAAAACTAAACGATTAAGGCAGGATTTTTAAAAGGTATCCCTTTTTTAAGAAAGAAGAAATGGAAATCTGACTTAGAAAAATGAGCACAAAAGGAATCTAGAGACTCTGCTAGCAGCATAGGTGCCTGCTGGGAGATGGTATTGTGCTAAGTTAGAAATCTATCATGGGGCTCCCACCCCAGGGAGGGAAGACAGATGTGAACAGAAGCAGAAAACTATTCTGGATAAAAACTCAGGCTTCCTCCTTGCTACTAACTCAAATTCCTTGTTACTTTGTTTCCACAGATGATAGTGGCCATTTTCAGTTTTCCTAAATAAATATAACTTTTATGTCATTGAATGTAACTATACTACCACCAGAGTAAAAGGTTCCCTAGAGTCATAATAACCTCTCCCACCCTTATGTATTCCTTTCTCCTCTGACAACTGCCCTTCAACGCACAGCACTCTCTCCAATTCCTTTACTCATTTCCAGACTTCAATGGTGGCCCGCACTCCTTTGCTTACTTATTCATCTTTTTACTGCAACTATGAATACAATTAAGATTTTGATGCAGTGATTCTTGAGTGCACTCAATTCAATCAAATGATGAGTCGTAAACAGTTAATTACCAGTCAAAAGTCAATATTGTGTAACGGATGTCTCTGTACAAACTCATCGTTAAGGATTAGGAATCTAATCCTAAGACAAGTTGGGAATGCTCATATACAGTAGTTTAGAAATAACTTGAGCTAATACACATAGACATTCACTGATGATTACTTTTTACTATAATCATATCAGATCAAATAATTTCACCAAGAAATATTATCAGAACAATGCTAATAGTCAGAATATGCCTGACTGTCATGATCTTTCATTGGTGATATAATAAATCATATCTCTACAAAGATGTCTACTTTTACTTTTTGGCCACAAGAAAATCTGTTCCCTGCCCCATCTACACACATTCCTGACCTATATAAAGGATTTGACATTCCTCTCTTAGTTTTCTAAAATTCATACTATGGTTATTTTCCTCATACGTTCATTCAAACAAAAATAAAACAAGCTTTGGCCTGGAGTGTGTCTTTTACCATTCTTGCCCAAGGCAACTGATATTACAGAAAAACTACCTAAATGCATAACTGAATTTGAGAGAAATGCCTAAAGGGTCTTGATGTAGATCACCATTTCAGTTTAAGGATTAAAGACCATAAAGGAGAAATTGTTAGATACCAAAAATGAATTAGATATGTATACCATGAGTATAAAAATAAAATACATTTCAATTTTTATGCCTCTTATTTTACATATTATAGAATGTACACCGAATGTATGGTGTACATTGTATAGTATATAAAATATTATACATGTAAGAGTCAGCTCTGGAGTTAGAGAATCTAGATTCAAACTGCAGCTTTATTACTCCTTACTACGTTACTTTCACAAGTTGTATATCTTCTCTGTGTCTCGTTTCTGTAAATTAGGATAATAGTTGTATTTACAGGTTGTCTTGAGGATTGAATGGTACATACAAATTTATGTGACTATCACATCATACAATAAAAGTTATTACTGTAATAAATAGTTATTACTGTTAGCATTATAATACTGATTAACTAAAGCCTATATAACTGTTCATTTCAATTAGCCCCATATATTAGCAGCTTTCTGTTTCAAGACAAAACAAGCTATAAAGCAGCAAACTGCATGGCTGAGACTCTGCTGCCACTACTCATCAATTCCAATGTCCTTTGTCTTATGAATCCAGAACGATGGTTCTCCATAATCAGAATTAAAGTTGTATTCCCAAGGTATTCTGATTAGTTGAGGCTTTACTTTAAAATTCTTTTAGAAGTCCGTGTCAATCATATAAAAGTTCTCCCTGAACAGATGAGTAAATTAAGAATTTAATTTTTAAATGGATTGAAAATAAACGTAAGTGAAAGATTAATATGTCCCATTAAAGGAATAAAAAGTATCTTTCTTTTCTTGCATAAAGACTTTATTTTTGTAACCTTTGAAAAAAATTCTTTTTAAGTTTTAATATAACTTTTATATCAGAATTATGCACAGCTACATGAACAAGATAAACTGATTTCAATGAGGCTGATGATGTCCCTGCAGATAACACAAATCATTATGTTAAGGAACAATCACCAAAATGTGTCTGTTTTTACACTAAATACAAAATTGCAATCAACATCAAAATCCAGATTGTAGGAAATTACATAGGATAAACAATCTGGTTTCTTCAACAAATAAATTGCAAGGGGGGGACAAAAGAGAAAGATAATTTTTAAAACATTATTATTTTATTTTATTTTTGAGACAGAGTCTTGCTCTGTCGCCCAGGCTGGAGTGCAGTGGCGCAATCTCAGCTCACTGCAACCTCCAACTCCTGAGTTCAAGCGATTCTCCTGCCTCAGCCTCCTGAGTAGCTGGGATTACAGGTGCATGCCACCACGCCCAGCTAATTTTTTGTATTTTTAGTAGAGACGGGGTTTCACCGTGTTAGCCATGATGGTCTCGATCTCCTGACGTCGTGATCCCCCTGCTTCGGCCTCCCAAAGTGCTGGAATTACAGGCGTGAGCCACTGTGCCCAGGCAAAAATTATTTTTAAAACCTACACAGCCAAAATTAAACTGTAGGGGTACATGCTTTGGTGATAAAACTATAAACAAAAGCAAGGAAGGGGTTATGATAAAAGTCAGGATAGTGTTTACAAATCTTACAAGAGGAGGATGAAAAGGGCTTGGGATGCAGCAAATAAACAGCTGGCCGAGCTTTATTTCTTGAACTGAATGGTCAATATAAAATTGTTTGCCTTTAGTATTTCATCAACCCATACATGTTTTATGTGAATTTCTGTGTCAGTTGTATATTTTACCATATAGGTTTTTAAAAATAAAATTGCAATCTAAAAGATTTATCATGATTTTGTTGTTGTTGTTCAAGACAGTCTCTTGCTATGTTACCCAGGCTGGCTTTGAACTCTTGAGCTCAAGTGATCCTCCCACCTCAGCCTCCTTGGTAGGTGCAAACAGGCATGACACTGCATCCAGCTCTTTTTTAAAAATGTTTTTTCCTGAAAAATGTATTCTTTACCAAAAGTTCAAAGACACCTGAGTACAGCCATTTATCAACTGGTTTCTAGCCATTGTTAAATTTGGAATAACACTTTAATTTTAAATTTGCATCCTTAGGATACATATGGCCATGCTTGTGCAAACTGACACAAGAAGCTCTTAGAGTTTAGCTTTGATTTCATATTTCCTTTCATTTACTTCAGTCCCAAGAGAAAAGCCAACTTTAAGAAAAAACAAAAAAACTTACAGGGCTCTTAAGGAAGGTGTTACAGGTGGATTGTGTTCCCCCAAAATGCATATGTTAAAGTCCTAACCCCTAATACCTCAGAATATAACTGTATGTAGAGACAGGGTCTCTAAAGAGGTAACGCAGTTAAAACAGGGTTATTAGGTTGGGTCCTAGTTCAATAGGAATGATGTTCTCACAAGAAGAGATTAGGATGCAGATATACACAGAGGGAAAGCCATGTGAAGACACAGGAAGAAAACCATGCACAAACCAAGGAGAGAGGCCTCGGCAGAAACCAACCCTGTCAACATCTTGATCTTGGACTTCTAGCTTTCAGAATTGAGAGAACATACATTTCTATTGTTTAAGCCACCCAGTCTGTGGTACTTTGTTATGGTAGCTTTAGCAAACTAACATGGAAGGTAAAGAAGTAAAAGTTTTAAGAGTTGCTTTTTAAAAAGGTACTGCAGGGAAGGAAAAAATATAAAACGTTACAACTTTGATTTATAATGTATTAATGAGTCATTAATAAAGAAAATAGACTTCTATCAGATTTCATGTAAAAAGAAACATCTCAAAGAGCTAAGCACAGAAGTCGAGACAGGAGGGAACCAGCAGAGAAATAATTGGCTACTGACTTTGGATTGATGGGCAGAATTCAGCATTTTCAATGTGGTTCCTGGAAAAACCCAGAGGAGAATTTTGAGTTAGATTTTCAAATGGAGTGGAAACAAATGGAGGTGACAGGTGAGATCAAAGCAGTTTTCTTAAAGGGAAAAATAAACCACCACTGGCCCTTCAGTCTGGACAAAGTTTGTATTTATCATTTCCCTGGTATGACAGGCTTAGGGGTTAGAAAAACCATCAACAAAGAAACTGCAAATCTCAGGTTGGAAAATCAGCAAAGATTGTGCAGCAAAGTCAGCGCTTCATGAGTTACGTATACCCAAGGAGCCTTAAGATCCCAGAGTGAAGTGCACTTTGCTGATTAGGTACAATTTTTCTGAAAAAGGATATTACTGTAGAGACAGCAGAGAGCTGTCTGCTGGGTCCACCCTCCATGCTCCTATTTGCATTTCATCATTCCACTGACAGACACAGATAGAAATAGATAGTGAATGGCCTGTTTCCTTTCCTCTTTAATTTAACAAGGGAATAAGAGATACTCTACATCAGAAAAACATTATCATACAAAATAGAGAAGTGAAGCCAAATGAAAAGGGATGGGAATAAAAGGACCTGGAGATTCTAGCCCTAGGTAATTTTTTTTTCCCAACTATAAACAAAATGGCTCCATTCTCCCATGTTATATCTAGATGAATCCTGTCCTTTCTGTAGGGAGGCAGTAATATAAATTAATCCACCATTCAATTCACCAATCTTCAGTTCCGAATAACTTTCTGGAGAGACAGGCATAATTATTACATCTAGGTCGCTTACAAGAATTACCAGATTTTAAGTCATTATGAATTAGAAATGTATAGGTATACAGGAGGTATTTACTGACAAAATGTCCTAAAGTCTGGAATTTGCTTTAAAATACTACACATACACACACACACACACACACACACACACACACACACACACACACACAAACACAAAGTAAAAAGAGAAAAAAAAGATAGTCAAAGTGTTGATAACTATTGATGCTGGATGATGGGAATGGGGGGTTTCATTATAGCATTCTTTTTTTTATATACTTTAAGTTTTAGGGTACATGGGAACAACGTGCAGGTTTGTTACATATGTATACATGTGCCATGTTGGTGTGCTGCACCCATTAACTCATCATTTAGCATTAGGTATATCTCCTAATGCTATCCCTCCCCCAGTCCCCCACCCCACAACAGTCCCCAGTGTGTAAAGGTCCCCTTCCTGTGTCCATGTGTTCTCACTGTTCAATTCTCACCTATGAGTGAGAACATGCGGTGTTTGGTTTTTTGTCCTCGCAATAGTTTGCTGAGAATGATGGTTTCCAGCTTCATCCATGTCCCTACAAAGGACATGAGCTCATCATTTTTTATGGCTGCATAGTATTCCATGATGTATGTGTGCCACATTTTCTTAATCCAGTCTATCGTTGTTGGACATTTGGGTTGGTTCCAACTCTTTGCTATTGTGAATAGTGCCACAATAAACATACATGTGCATGTGTCTTTATAGCAGCATGATTTATAATCCTTTGGGTATATACCCACTAATGGGATGGCTGGGTCAAATGGCATTTCTAGTTCTAGATCCCTGAGGAATCGCCACACTGACTTCCACAATGGTTGCACTAGTTTACAGTCCCACCAACAGTGTAAAAGTGTTCCTATTTCTCCACATCCTCTCCAGCACCTGTTGTTTCCTGACTTTTTAATGATCGCCATTCTAACTGGTGTGAGATGGTATCTCATTGTGGTTTTGATTTGCATTTCTCTGATGGCCAGTGATGGTGAGCATTTTTTCATGTGTTTTTTGGCTGCATAAATGTCTTCTTTTGAGAAGTGTCTGTTCATATCCTTTGCAAACTTTTTGATGGGGTTGTTTGTTTTTTTCTTGTAAATTTGTTTGAGTACATTGTAGATTCTGGATATTAGCCCTTTGTCAGATGAGTAGGCTGCAAAAATTTTCTCCCATTTTGTAGGTTGCCTGTTCACTCTGATGGTGGTTTCTTTTGCTGTGCAGAAGCTCTTTAGTTTAATTAGATCCCACTTGTCAATTTTGGCTTTTGTTGCCATTGCATTTGGTGTTTTAGACATGAAGTCCTTGCCCATGCCTATGTCCTGAATGGTATTGCCTAGGTTTTCTTCTAGGGTTTTTATGGTTTTAGGTGTAACATTTAAGTCTTTAATCCATCTTGAATTAATTTTTGTGTAAGGTGTAAGGAAGGGATCCAGTTTCAGCTTTTTACTTATGGCTAGCCAGTTTTCCCAGCACCATTTACTAAATAGGGAATCCTTTCCCCATTGCTGGTTTTTCTCAGGTTTGTCAAAGATCAGATAGTTGTAGATATGCGGCGTTATTTCTGAGGGCTCTGTTCTGTTCCATTGGTCTATATGTCTGTTTTGGTACCAGTACCATACTGTTTTGGTTACTGTAGCCTTGTAGTATAGTTTGAAGTCAGGTAGCATGATGCCTCCAGTTTTGCTCTTTTGGCTTAGGATTCACGTGGCAATGTGGGTTCTTTTTGGTTCCATATGAACTTTAAAGTAGTTTTTTCCAATTCTGTGAAGAAAGTCATTGGTAGCTTGATGGGGATGGCATCGAATCTATAAATTACCTTGGGCAGTATGGCCATTTTCACGATATTGATTCTTCCTACCCATGAGCATGGAATGTTCTTCCATTTGTTTGTATCCTCTTTTATTTCCTTGAGCAGTGGTTTGTAGTTCTCCTTGAAGAGGTCCTTCACATCCCTTGTAAGTTGGATTCCTAGGTATTTTATTCTCTTTGAAGCAATTGTGAATGGGAGTTCACTCATGATTTAGCTCTCTGTCTGTTATTGGTGTATAAGAATGCTTGTGATTTTTGGACATTGATTTTGTATCCTGAGACTTTGCTGAAGTTGCTTATCAGCTTAAGGAGATTTTGGGCTGAGACAATGGGGTTTTCTAGATATACAATCATGTCATCTGCAAACAGGGACAATTTGACTTCCTCTTTTCCTAATTGAATGCCCTTTATTTCCTTCTCCTGCCTGACTGCCCTAGCCAGAACTTCCAACACTATGTTGAATAGGAGTGGTGAGAGAGGGCATCCCTGTCTTGTGCCGGTTTTCAAAGGGAATGCTTCCAGTTTCTGCCCATTCAGTATGATATTGGCTGTGGGTTTGTTATAGATAGCTCTTATTATTTTGAGATACGTCCCATCAATACCTAATTTATTGAGAGTTTTTAGCATGAAGGGCTGTTGAATTTTGTCAAAGGCCTTTTCTGCATCTATTGAGATAATCATGTGGTTTTTGTCTTTGGTTCTGTCTATATGCTGGATTACGTTTATTGATTTTTGTATGTTGAACCAGCCTTGCATCCCAGGGATGAAGCCCACTTGATCACGGTGGATAAGTTTTTTGATGTGTTGCTGGATTCGGTTTGCCAGTATTTTATTGAGGATTTTTGCATCAATGTTCGTCAAGGTTATTGATCTAAAATTCTCTTTTTTTGTGTGTCTCTGCCAGGCTTTGGTATCAGGATGATGCTGGCCTCATAAAATGAGTTAGGGAGGATTCCCTCTTTTTCTATTGATTGGAATAGTTTCAGAAGGAATGGTACCAGTTCCTCCTTGTACCTCTGGTAGAATTCAGCTGTGAATCCATCTGGTCCTGGACTTTTTTTGGTTGGTAAGCTATTAATTATTGCCTCAATTTCAATATTGGTCTATTCAGAGATTCAACTTCTTCCTGGTTTAGTCTTGGGAGAGTGTATGTGTCAAGGAATTTATCCATTTCTTCTAGATTTTCTAGTTTATTTGCATAGAGGTGTTTGTAGTATTCTCTGATGGTAGTTTGTATTTCTGTGGGATCGGTGGAGATATCACCTTTGTCATTTTTTATTGCGTCTATTTGATTCTTCTCTCTTTTCTTCTTTATTAGTCTTGCTAACGGTCTATCAATTTTGTTGATCTTTTAAAAAAAACCAGCTCCTGGATTCATTGATTTTTTGAAGGGCTTTTTGTGTCTCTATTTCCTTCAGTTCTGCTCTGATTTTAGTTATTTCTTGCCTTCTGCTAGCTTTTGAATGTGTTTACTCTTGCTTTTCTAGTTCTTCCAATTGTGATGTTAGGGTGTCAATTTTACACCTTTCCTGCTTTCTCTTGTGGACATTTAGTGCTATAAATTTCCCTCTACACACTGCTTTGAATGTGTCCCAGGGATTCTGGTATGTTGTATCTTTGTTCTCGTTGGTTTCAAAGAACCTCTTTATTTCTGCCTTCATTTCATTATGTACCCAGTAGTCATTCAGGAGCAGGTTGTTCAGTTTCCATGTAGTTGAGCGGTTTTGAGTGAGTTTCTTAATCCTGAGTTCTGGTTTGATTGCACTGTGGTCTGGGAGACAGTTTGTTATAATTTCTGTTCTTTCACATTTGCTGAGAGTGCTTTACTTCCAACTATGTGGTCAATTTTGGAATAGGTGTGCTGTGGTGCTGAAAAGAATGTATATTCTGTTGATTTGAGGTGGAGAGTTCTGTAGATGTCTATTAGGTCTGCTTGGTGCAGAGCTGAATTCAATTCCTGGATATCCTTCTTAACTTTCTGTGTCGTTGATCGGTCTGATGTTGACAGTGGGGTGTTAAAGTCTCCCATTATTATTGTGTGGGAGTCTAAGTCTCTTTGTAGGTCACTCAGGACTTGCTTTATGCATCTGGGTGCTCCTGTATTGAGTGCATATATATTTAGGATACTTAGTTCTTCTTGTTGAATTGATCCCTTTACCATTATGTAATAGCCTTCTTTGTCTCTTTTGATCTTTGTTGGTTTAAACTCTGTTTTATCCAAGAGTAGGATTGCAACCCCTGCCATTTTTTGTTTTCCATTTGCTTGGTAGATCTTCCTCCATCCCTTTACTTTGAGCCTATGTGTGTCTCTGCACATGAGATGGGTTTCCTGAATACAGCACACTGATAGGTCTTGACTCTTTATCCAATTTGCCAGTCTGTGCCTTTTAATTGGAGCATTTAGCCCATTTACATTTAAGGTTAGTATTGTTATGTGTGATTTTGATCCTGTCATTATGATGTTAGCTGGTTATTTTGCTCGTTAGTTGATGCAGTTTCTTCCTAGCCTCGATGGTCTTTACAATTTGGCATGTTTTTGCAGCGGCTGGTACCGGTTGTTCCTTTCCCTGTTTAGTGCTTCCTTCAGGAGCTCTTGTAGGGCAGGCCTGGTGGTGACAAAATCTCTCAGCAGTTGCTTGTCTATAAAGTATTTTATTTCTCCCTCACTTATGAAGCTTAGTTTGGCTGGTTATGAAATTCTGGGTTGAAAATTCTTATTTTTAAGAATGTTGAATATTGGCCCCCACTCTCTTCTGGCTTGTAGAGTTTCTGCCAAGAGATCAGCTGTTAGTCTGATGGGCTTCCCTTTGTGGGTAACCCGACCTTTCTCTCTGGCTGCCCTTAACATTTTTTCCTTCATTTCAACTTTGGTAAATCTGACAATTATGTGTCTTGGAGTTGCTCTTCTCGAGCAGTATCTTTGTGGCATTCTCTGTATTTCCTGAATTTGAATGTTGGCCTGCCTTGCTAGATTGGGAAGTTCTCCTGGATAATATCCTGCAGAGTGTTTTGCAACTTGGTTCCATTCTCCCCGTCACTTTCAGGTACACCAATTAGACGTAGATTTGGTCTTTTCACATAGTCTCATATTTCTTGGAGGCTTTGCTCATTTCTTTTTATTCTTTTTTCTCTGAACTTCTCTTCACGCTTCATTTCATTCATTTCATCTTCCATCACTGATACCCTTTCTTCCAGTTGATCACATCGGTTACTGAGGCTTGTGCATTCGTCATGCAGTTCTCGTGCCATGGTTTTCAGCTCCATCAGGTCCTTTAAGGACTTCTCTGCATTGGTTATTCTAGTTATCCATTCGTCTAATTTTTTTTCAAAGTTTTTAACTTCTTTGCCATTGGTTCAAACTTCCTCCTTTAGCTCGGAGTAGTTTGATCTCCTGAAGCCTTCTTCTCTCAACTCGTCAAAGTCATTCTCCGTCCAGCTTTGTTCCGTTGCTGGCGAGGAGCTGCGCTCCTTTGGAGGAAGAGAGGCACTCTGATTTTTAGAGTTTCTGGTTTTTCTGCTCTGTTTTTTCCCCATCTTTGTGGTTTTATCTATCTTTGGTCTTTGATGATGGTGATGTACAGATGGGTTTTTGGTGTGGGTGTCCTTTCTGTTAGTTTTCCTTCTAATAGTCAGGACCCTCAGCTGCAGGTCTGTTGGAGTTTACTGGAGGTCCACTCCAGACCCTGTTTGCCTGGGTATCAGCAGTGGTGGCTGCAGAAAAGTGGATATTGGGGAATTGCAAATGCTGCTGCCTGATCGTTCCTCTGGAAGTTTTGTCTCAGAGGAGTACCCAGCTGTGTGAGGTGTCAGTCCATCAGTCTGACCCTACTGGGGGGTGCCTCCCAGTTAGGCTACTCGGGGGTCACAGACCCACTTGAGGAGGCATTCTGCCCGTTCTCAGATCTTAAGCTGCGTGCTAGGAGAACCACTACTGTCTTCAAAGCTGACAGACAGGGACATTTAAGTCTGCAGAGGTTATTGCTGTCTTTTGTTTGTCTGTGCCCTGCCCCCAGAGGTGGAGCCTACAGAGGCAGGCAGGCCTCCTTGAGCTGTGGTGGGCTCCACCCAGTTCGAGCTTCTGGGCTGCTTTGTTTACCTACTGAAGCCTGGGCAATGGTGAGCGCCCCTCCCCCAGCCTAGCTGCCACCTTGCAGTTTGATCTCAGACTGCTGTGCTAGCAATCA
Organism: Homo sapiens; assembly: GCF_000001405.40. Taxonomy (NCBI): domain Eukaryota; kingdom Metazoa; phylum Chordata; class Mammalia; order Primates; family Hominidae; genus Homo; species Homo sapiens. Next base: position 88,077,739 of record NC_000007.14, on the reverse strand, counting down.
GCGAGACTCCGTGGGTGTAGGACCCTCTGAGCCAGGTGTGGGATATAATCTCCTGGTGTGCCGTTTGTTAAGCCCGTTGGAAAAGCGCAGTATTAGGGTGGGAGTGACCCGATTTTCCAGGTGTCGTCTGTCACCCCTTTCTTTGACTAGGAAAGGGAATTCCCTGACCCCTTGCACTTCCCAGGTGAGGCGATGCCTCGCACTGCTTTGGCTCACGCACGGTACACTGCACCCATTGTCCTGCACCCACTGTCCAGCACTCCCCAGTGAGATGAACCCGGTACCTCAGTTGGAAATGCAGAAATCACCCGTCTTCTGCATCGCTCACGCTGGGAGCTGTAGACTGGAGCTGTTCTATTCAGCCATCTTGGCTCCCGACCCTCATTATAGCATTCTTTTCACTTCAAAGTCTGTTTAAACTTTTCCATAATGAAAAGTTTTCTTTTAGTTTACATATATATGTAATGGAAAAACTCAATTATCTTCAGAATGTCATTTGAATAGGACAATATAATTTATTTTGGTTACTGATAACAGTTTAAATAAAAAGCTTTACTATGTAATAAATGTACATAAAAAACTGAACAAAGGCTTTATGGGAAAATAACTTGGCAAATGTTTACAAAATGATACAGAAGCAAGCAGATACAATATTGTAGCTACATATGATACTATATAAATATCTATGTATATATACAAATGTGTGCATATGACAAAAAACACTCAAATAACAAAATGAAAACATTTATCTCTCAGTGATGAGTTTAAGGATAAAGTTTTCCTTTTTTGTTCAACTTTTCTCTGTTTACAAGTTTTCTAAAATGAGCATTTATCTAATTTGTAATTAGAAAAAGGAAATGAATATGAACGAGTGGGATTATAATTCAGATAAAGTAGAATAGATAGTCTGAACACTATTCAGAAGAAAATAAACACTTGGCCAAAAGTCACTATACTAAACACTGAGCAGAAGGAAGCCCTACACTTGGGTGGCTTTTGTTTTCATATGCTCTCAGATTATACCATCTGCAGATCTGGGGGAAAACCGCCACATTCTTATGCCTCTAGCTGGTGGAGGCTTTTATTTTTGTGTTAATATTTTCACAGTTTACCTGTCATAACCAGTATCCTGAGATTTCTGTCTCCAGGTATTTTTAACTCCTTGATCTCCTGTAGATCTAACAATTTTACATTTTACTGGTGGAGGTGTGGGGTGGGGCAGGGTGGAGGGGCGGCAGGGCTGGGAATCTTACACAGCTGAATGCAAAGGCAAACACCTACCCTGGACCCAAGTTTTCACCTCTTGGTTCTCAGGGGTAACATTAAAGGCAAATTTCAAAAACTACTTTCAGTGACATAATCTAAGAAAGAACTAAAGGTTGGTGTAAAAGTCACTGGGGTTTCCCAGGCGCGTTGGCTCATGCCTGTAATCCCAGCACTTTGGGAGGCCGGAGCGGGTGGATCACCTGAGGTCTGAAGTTCGAGACCAGCCTGGCCAACATGGTGAAACCCCCTGTCCACTAAAAATACAAAAATTAGCCAGGTGTGGTGGCAGGCGCCTGTAATCCCAGCTACTCGGGAGACTGAGGCAGGAGAATCACTTGAACCCAGGAGGCAGAGCTTGCAGTGAGCCGAGATCGCGCTGTTGCAGTGAGCTGAGATCGCGCCATTGCACTCCAGCTGGGCGACAAGAGCGAGACTTTGTCTCAAAAAAATAAAATAAAATAAAATAAAATAATTGGGGTTTTTGCCATTAAAAGTAACGACAAAAACCACAAGGACTTTTGCACCAACCTAGTACTTGCAGCTATAGCAATCCTACAAAACATTAAGTCTAGCAATTCCTACAGTACCCTAAAAATTCTTTTTCTGATAACTAAAAGTAAAGTTTCATTTTTCCAAAGTGGGTGATAAAACTTCAAATTATAAAGTATTTTTAAAACCCTCAAAACTGTACATTAGAAATATCATTGAAAATTAAAATAATAATCAGTAGTATTAAAAGATTCTCAACAAATTTCCCCACAAGTAGGAAAATTTCACTTACTTTAACTTCCACAGTCTTGCCTCCATGTTCAATGTGTCTCTCTATGTATTCAGAGGACAGCAAATCACTGCAACAACAAAAATAAATGATGACTAAAGAGGATCCCAAAAATGTAAAACACGAAAATCAGGATCTAGTTTACACATATCTGCTTTAACAATTCTTTAAGCCCCCCAAATCAACACTTTATAGGTCTCTCTCTCTCTCTCACACTCACACACACACACAGACACACACACACCCAGTATTTCTAAAAGGACATGAGGTTGAACTGCCTACACCACCTGTCACTCCATTGCTGAGCACAGCTGATTCTGCTGAACCAGCCAATAATTCCAGGAAACTACCGTAAGCACATCATTATTTTAAAGACATATTGTCCTTAATTTTTTACTTTAACTTTTTATCAAACAGTTTTAATTGTATATTATGCCTTACCATTTCTTTAATGTGTTATATGTGATATTTTCATCTGACAAAATGTTAGTTTTCATCACAAAATAAAAAAAGGCAAAGAAAGTTAAAAGAAATGAAATGGAATATATACCATCAACATTTGAAAATTATTCTTTTTTGAAATCAATCCTAAACAACATTTACATGTTTCTATAATCTTAAATATGCTTCTCTTTAATTTCATATATATGAAAAACTTTCCCTTTTAATGGAGGGGTCTCAAGACACAACTTCCGTAAAATATTTTTAATCTTTTAAAGCACTAAAATATAAATAAAACTATCATTAATAAATTTTAAAAAATGCATCAAGCTATAAATTTCTAGTGTTGCTCTATTAATAGACATTGAGCCAACTAAAAACTCCTTAAGTGAACTGAAGGTCATCAAACTAAAACTGTTCCAATCATCTAAAAATGTGCATTTTTGAGCACAGAGGTTCATCATGATAAGCACCATGCCTACAATTGCTTGAAATGTAAACAGAACGATCAAACAAGCATTACATTAATGCAGGCACCATAATCCTGTATTATCTGACACTTATATTACTATTTAGAAAACTTGTAATTATAGTCTAAGTCAATGCTTCATTTATCTTGAGAATAGATGTTCTTACTGACTTTATGTTAGAATCAGCTAGCACGCTCTCAGCTGCAAGCTGTAGAAAACACAACAAAAAGTATATTAAACAATCAGGACATTTATCATCTTATTTCTTCTTTGAAATTCCAGGTCTAGCATAATATAAATTTGCTTTTGAGGATATTCAGTTCTACTTGATAAATAAATTTGATGTTTATAAAATATAGGCAAACCCTTTTAAGATATTTTCAGTATATATTTTGCTAGTAAGACATGAACAGAATTCACAGATGTATAAAGTATAAAAAGAAGATTGTATATGTGTTACACACTGACAGAAAGGGCTGCAAGATCAAGAAATGTCAATTACTCTTGAAGCATATGAGTAATAAATGTTCATGATATATTAAATATATAAGAGGCACTAAATATCCAGGATACACTAAATATACATATGTACTTAATATTCATGAGGGGGTTTTTCAGCTTCGACACAATTGATACTTTGGGCCAGATAATTCTTTGTCTTGGGAGGCTGTCTTGTTCACTGTAGCACACTTAGCATCCCTAGATTCTACCTAATAGATGCCAGTAGCATCTCTTACATACACCAGTCATGACAATCAAAAATGTCTCCAGACATTGCTAAATGTACACTGGGGTACAAAATTACCCTGATTAACAACTGCTGATACTCTTTCCTGCTCCATTTGTTATCTGTCCAATAAACATAACAGAACTCATGACTGTTTGTGAGGCTAACTGGCAAGCCACAGCCACTGACTAGGCATACTTGTCCCAGTATCTCTCAGACACTTGAGCAGGTGTTATTAGCTTGGGACGACTGCTATCTTTGGGGCTTGCCCAAACCTCAACTCTGGTCCTTGTAACCACACCATCAGTGGGGAAGGCATATGCAGATGTATGAACATGAACACTATGTATCCCAGGATTAGCTGGCATGGCCCCTCTACCCTACTTGCCCCTAACCCAGGTATACCAACCTAATAATCTTTCCTCTTGCCTCTCACTGTGCACTTTAAATTAATTTAGTGAATTACGTGATTTGAGGATTGGAATTTAGTCTGTGGGAGCTTTTGGTTCCCTCACCTCTAGGATAGCTCACCTAAGCATACTTGGAGGCTACCATTGCATCAAAGTAATCTTCCCATCTGACATCAGGGCAGTTCCAGGGTTGGCTCACGTGGTGGCTCAGTGCCATTAATGAGATGAGGGGTGTTTACAACTTTCTGCTCTGCCCTCAGCATGGTAGCCGGGGCTCTCTTAACTGGCTCCTCTCATGACCCTGATATGATGGCTGCAATTCTCACCATCTTATAGAAAATACATTATTCCAAGATTAAAAAAAGAAAAAAAGCCTTGTATTTATTTTTAAAAGTGAACAAGCCCTTTCAAAAATAGCTCTTAGCATTCATCTTCTCAAGTATCTTCTGCCAGAATTACATTATATGGCCACTCCTAAACCAATCCTTTGACAAGAACATTTGTCTTTGAACAATCAAGATTCTCCTGCCAGGCCTTCCTTGACCATCATGATTCTTTACAGAGAACTGAACAATATTGTTGGAAAGGAGAGTGGTGAAGAAAGTACCTGTTGTACATCCAATTGAAAATTGTCTCTTTTTTTGTCTTCATCATGAGTATATTATATATTTCACAAATTTCCAAGGGCTTATAACAAAAACGTAAAATTATATGGAAAGACCTGCCTCAGGCAAAACTGGTAATTGCTCCAGCATCCACATCACACCCTGTTTACCCAAAACAGGAGAGATACTAGCCAGGTGTTTGCAAAGGACTGTCCTCCAACCTTGCTATCAGTCTTAAAAACTTCCCCAGATGTAGGAGAGAAACATCATCATACAGAGGCATGTTTATCAGCAGAGCCAGCCAGGTTCCCTCTCCTGGGAATCTGAACTTGTAAATTCAGAAAAAAATCATTCAGCTGATGAAGGAAAGAGAAACAGAAAGTCAAAAGTAAGTTGACACTTAAAAGAAACTGAGCTGTACGGTGGTGAATACCAGAGTGAAAGCCCCACATCTCCACTGCTGAAGTCCCTGAATGCAGAACACCCTATCCCTGTGCTAGACATCTTTGGGACCCTTGCTCTCTCACTGTCACATGAGTCAAACCCCACTACTGCAGCCAGCATGAGTGAAATCAAAATCACCTAAGTCAAATACTCCTCAGAGGAATACTAGCTGTGGTGTAGGAATAGTAGTAGTAATAATAATAATAATAAAATCTAAAAACTACTTTTGAGTCCTCCAGGCTTTCAAATTTCAAGGGAACATTTCCCTTTGAATTATAAAATCTAGGCATTAAGAGAATATGAGTCACTGCACGAATGTAATTACAGCAAAGAAAAGCCCTCTGCTCAGGAATTATGCAGCTATTTCAATCAAGCCTCTATATACAAGTATTGCTGGAAAGCGCTCCATGTAATTTTAAACCAAAAACAGCTCATGCAATTTGGTTTTGTTTGTTTGCATATTGTGAAAGTCTGCAAAGTATTGTTATTTTAATGATTAGGGTGAGAATCCTTAAATTTAAACTTTCACTTTTCCCTCTACTAAACCATAAAATCTTTACTATCATCAAGTTAGAACCTAAGTTAATTTTCTTGAAGCTTCCTGAAGTAGAGATAATCAAATTATCTTGTTATTTTCTTTAGAACATCATTGTTCATCATTATATAGGGATCTACTTAAATCATTTTAAGTGTAGGAAAATGGAAGACCTCCTTAACATAAAGGAAATTTTATATTAATGTAAATGGGTCAGGTAGAATTCACTCCATACTAATAGCTTAATAATGATGTGTGAATGCTTGTTTGTGAACTTTGAAATATAAAAGTAAAAATCATTTTCAACCAATTTCTAAAGGCCACTCATTCTCTAAAGGAAGTAAGATGTTTATAAAATTAGAAATGTTTTCTGAGACCTTTTTTCATTTGCATGTCATAACAAGCCTAAAAAAGCAAAACAAATATAATGTAAACATTTTCAGTCATAATAATGATTATCCTTTGTGTAGTGGGCAACTGTCATGAATCAGAGACAGCTCGTACAGTATTATACAAAGGTTTGGGAGTTAAAAACAAAAACAAATATTTTAATTTTCCATCCAAGCTCTGCCATTTACTAATTGTGTACCCTTGGCCAAGCTGCTTAATCTTGATCAACATAATTTGCTTCTGTTTAAAATGGAGACACTAAAAAAAAAAAAAAAAAAAAAATCACTTCATAAAGCTGGTATGGTATTAAACCAGAACATAGATGAAATGCATCCCATATCCTGATTTCAATCATTCACATACCCTATTCACCATCTCATATCTATTCATCTTTCTCTAGAACTCTATCTCACTGTTTTGGAACTTAAAACCATTGAGCCTATCTACCACTTTTTCACTCTCCTCACCTTCTTGTCTACTTAATCCAGTTTATCTTCCATGATCTGTCCTGATAAATCACCTCCCTTCACACACTCTAAACTAATTTACCCCTCTTTCCACTGTACTTGCTTGACCAAACCTCAATCACAGTAAAACTCCTTCTACTAATCAAAGTCTGACTCCAAGAAATAGAACATCTTGAATGGTCATAGGCTGGTGTAGGATCACAGTTGTCAAATGGTCCCTCATCACAACACTGCCCTTAAGTCCACTACGCTTTTCCAGTCAATTTACTCTGAGAAGATCCTTCTAAATCTCTCTCCTCACATCTCTACTGTGCTCCCTCATTATCACTCCCTTCAGATAATCTCACTTCTGTATTCACTGGAAAAATGAAAACAAGACTACCTCATCTTTCCAATCTACCAGCACCCCTGTTTCTGAACCAGTCTCTACTAGGATGTCAAATAGGCATCTCAAATTCAACATGTCTAATGCATAACTCTCTCAGTCAAATCCGAACATTCAATTCTACCTTCAAAATGTATCCTAGTAACAACTTGACAGTGAAAAAAAAACTGGAGACATCACCTTAACCAAGTGATCACAGTTAACATAACCAATAATAGAAAAAAACAAAATCATGTGCTTCTGAAGTGATGCTTGCATAAGAAGCAAACAAATGAACAAAGCAACTTGAATGTGCAATAGATTTTCAAAGAAACAGCCTCAGAGCAAAGATCTAATCCAAGGTGCTGCCAGTAAGATGTAATCTCAAGGTCAAGAGTAAGTCAAGGGTGTAGTTTTAAAACGCTTTGTTATAACTCAGACAGACTAAAGGCTGTTTCGCCTTTACCAAATCATCTATGTAAAAGAGTTCCGAAAACTATTAAGGGCCTCAGCTAGACAAAAGAGTTTCTAAGTATCTTGTAGGTTCTCATAGACATTCTCACCTAAACAAAAAGGCTAGTATGGATCTTCAGTGCATTGTCCCATAGCATCTTAACTCACAGTAGAGAGGGACCTATCTCAAAAAGATCTGTGGATGTGGATTTGTCTAATGGGGTAAATGCCAATGAGATTCACATGAAACCTGTGAAGTTCTTAAGAGAATTATATCACTGGAACCACACCAGCTTGGACCAAAATGGACAGTCAGTTCAAACTCTTTATAGTGAGGAAACAGACCAGAAAGATAGCTAGCTTAAAGCCCGGCACATTTCTTTTAAAAAAAAAATAAATGTTGACTCAGAGGATGAACCCAAGAACCACAAAAGGACTGCTCCCAGGAAGCAAAGCAGAGCCTTAATCAACATATATTCCCTTCTGCCAAAGCAGGAGAAACCAGTGACATACCTGATTCAGTATCAGAAATTCAATGGACCAGTGACTGCCGAGTAGCTATTTCCCACTTTTTGAACAGGAGTATCTACTGCAGTCATCCTGCCCCTATCCACCCTGTATTTCAGGTTATCTTTTTGGTTCAAGGGTCTACACCTGGGCTACCTCATCTAAGCAGCCTTATCTACACCTGGACCTAATTCAGATGATGAGAACCTGAACCTTGCATTTGAGCCTGATACTATAATGGAATAAGATTTTTCAGGGGTCTCTGGAGGAATTCAATGCATTCTGCATATGTGATAAATACAAATAATTTGTGGCCAAAGGACAAACTGTGGTTGATTAAAGAAGGCAATAAATTGTAACTCTTCTAATGGCGAAGTGGAAATCATTTCTTCTCCCCTTGAATCTGAGCTGGCCCTGTGAAAAATATGAGACAGAAGTGATATTGTGTGTCTTAGTCTGTTTTGTGCTGCTGTAACAGAATATCACAGACTAGGTAATGTAGAATGAACAGAAATATGTTGGCTCACAGTTCCAGAGGCTGGGAAGTCCAATATCAAGGTGCCAGCAACTTGTGAGGGCCTTTTTGCTGTGTCATCATATGGTAGAAGGAGAGAAGGAGAGAAGGAAAGCAGAAGGAGAGAGGGAGAGAGAAGGAAAGGGAGAGAAGGAGAAACATAGGGAGGAAGGAGACAGGGAGAAGAGAGGGAAAGAGGTAGGGAGAGGGAGGAAGAGGGAGGGAAGGTAAGGGAAGACAAGAGAGGGTGAGAGCGAGCCAGAGAGAGAGGGGGAGAGCACACACAGAAGCAAGAGGGAATCCAACTTGCCCTTTAATAAGGCACCAATCCCAGGCCTGTGAGTGCAGCCAGCCCTCATGGCCTAATGACCCTTAAAAGGTCCCACCTCTTCATACTGTTACAATGGCAATTAAATTTCAACATGATATTTAGAGGTGACAAACATTCAAACTACAGCTCTGCGTAACATCTGAGATCTGCAGATTCCATTTTCATGCATGTAGAATTCTCCTTTGAATCCAGCCACCATGCTGTCAGGAAGCCCAAGCAATCACATAAAAAGACCATGTGGAGGAGAATCATGTCCCTAGCTGACAGACCCAGTGAATTCCAAGCCAACACTGACACCAATTTCCAAACACGTGATTGAGGCAAGTTTGCATCTTCCAGATATAATAGCATCCCAGCTGACACTACATAAAGCATATCTGCCCAGTTGACCTACAGAATTGTGCAAAACAATATACACTGTAAAGATTATAATATACTGTAACAAGCTATGCCTTCTTGTTCTAACATTCAGTGATTGTTATGCTGCCCCAAATTACTATGTTTTCCTTAGAGCAGTCACCAAATATTAAATGTAACTTTCTTTGGACCAATATAAAAGAATCATAAGACTTCAAATATGATTATAATCCAACCAGTGAAAATAAAAGAAGCCCACAGATCATAGTTCACAATCGAAAATCAAAGATTTCATAAGGTCTTTAAACTATGAAAACCTCTCCAGAAGAAGAGAACTGGAAAAAATGGAAGCTTTAAGGATCCAAATTTCATTATTTCATTTAAGAGGAATAACAAATTATGAGCTTGGAAAGGTTTTTTAAAGAAAACATTCTTCCCATTCTCTCCATTCTCTGAATCCCTCCCCAACACCTCCATTTCATCATCTTTATTTTCTTAGTTTCTCTAGCCATGCACCAACCCTCCAGATCCTTTTGATATACTAGAGAATCCTCACTATAGAAAATGAATAAATATCACTGAGAATTAACCATCCATTCCTCAGCTTTTTTTAAAGTGCCAAAACTGTTATCTATACCCTCAGCATGTAATGAGTGGTATTTAAAATGTTTATGTTGTTTAAACTAAATTAAAAGGAAACTACAAAAGGGAATTAAAAGTTTATTAAATATCTGATTTTTGGATGAAAGTTTCACTTAATTACTTTTCCAGTTTGTAAATATAATTTCTCTCTTGCTTATGCACATAAAAGAAATTTTCTGTGTACCCCTGTGTCTAAAGGTGAGGCTATTTTTGTTACTTCTATTGAGGAAGTCACAATCTGATGAAAATTATCAGGGAGCTTTAAATGTGTATGCTAGGACTAGGGCACTTACAATAAATGTGATCAAGTAAAAGCTGAGCCTGCCACTATCATGAATGTTAGCTCTTATTTATAGAATCCTGTTCCTAATAAAGCAAAGTTTTCCAAGCCGGCTTTGCAGCAGAATCAGATTTTTTAAAAAAATGCCTAGACACCGTCAGGCCTACCAAATCAGAATCTTCTACGTTTATTCTGCTATAAAGAAAAGTTACCAAGACATGAAAGTTTAATCAAATTAACAGTCTACAAATATGCTAGTAAAATTCTATTAACATATAATGGCCTGTTGGCATATCTGATCATTGTGGCTCAATACCACTTTAAAAGCCAAGGTACTCGGGGACTGTTGTGGGGTGGGGGGAGGAGGGAGGGTTAGCATTAGGAGATATACCTAATGCTGAATGACGAGTTAATGGGTGCAGCACACCAGCATGGCACATGTATACATATGTAACTAACCTGCACATTGTGCACATGTACCCTAAAACTTAAAGTATAATTTAAAAAAAAAAAAAAGCCAAGGTACCAGGGAACACACTACACCAAGGCAATTCAAATGAGTCCCTGGTGAATCTTATTGCAAATAATCAACAGAGGGAGACATGTTCCTCCCCATTACAGTCAAGTAAAGGACTAATGTTTTGTAGTTTTTTAAGGGTAAAATTGCCAGACTTACTTCAAAATTTACTTAGACTTCTTATGAGTACCCTAGAAATGGAGATTTTGGGCACTTAATGTTGAATTATTGGGCATTTTTATAATATTAATCACTTGAAAATCAGATCCCATCTAATCTGGTTTTCACCACACCGCTTCACCAAAACTGTATTTTCATGGTCACTATTTAGCTACCTCTATATCGTTAAATCTAACAGTTAATTCTTAGTCTTAATCTTACTTGATGTATAAGCAGCATTTGACATAGCTGATCACCCCTCCTCTTGGAAATATTTCCTTCAATTTCCTACCAGGAACCACACAGTCCTGGTTTTTCTCCTTTCTCTTGCTGCTGCTTCTGTCTCCTTTGTAGGTTTCTTCTCATCGCTACAGTTCCTAAACATTGGAGTACCCCCAGGGATCAGTACTTGATCCTCCTCTTTTCTTTTGACACTCTCTTCCTCGGTGATTTCATCTAATGTTTTCTCTTAATTAATTATACAGGATATAATTGTACTCAATTATATGCTGATGTTTCTCCAGCTTAGAATTCTCCTCTAAACACCAGAATCATATATCCAACTATATACTCAACATCTCTTACTTATTAAATAAGCATCACACTTAACATGTCCAAACTTGGGCTCCTGATCTTGCTTGACAAACATGATTCTCCTATAATCTTCCAAGCTTCTTAAATGGCTACTTCAATTTTCCAGTTACCCTGGCCAAAAATCATAGAGTGATCATTGACTCTTTAATCTCTCTTACAAATCATATATGGAACTGATAAGAAAATTCTGTCAATAGTGTTTTCAAAAAAAATTTCCAGAATATGAACATTTCCATTGCCACCACCCTGGTCTGAGCCACCATGCTATCTTGCCTGGAGTACTGCAAGGCTTAAGATCTACTCTGTTAACCTGTCAACATTTCGCTTATCATCCACATGAAGAATATAACAATTCCATCATTAGTGAGAAGACAGAGTAGCAGACATTATTATCCACTGTTAATGACAGTCAAATACTGTCCTCTTCTGATAAAGCAATTTTTCAAAACAGTAAAAGTCTTAAACTTCTAATATTCTTTGTACCTAAGAATCTAATGAAGAAAAATAACTCTAAATATAGGAGACATTTTATGGAATTAAAAAGATAATATCAGAAAACCTAGTGTTGACAAGGCTGTGAGCATAGAGTTTTGTAGAATTTTCATGGAGGGAAATTTGACAATACATATTAAGTGTATACCTTTTGAACCTGCAATTCTGTTTCTAAGAATTTAAGGAATAATTTTGAATAATTTTAAAATAGATGTGTAGCTGTAAAGATCTTCCATACACTATCATTGTGAAACACTGAAAAATTTTAAAGCAATTTAAAAAATAAGATCCCAAAATTTACAATTAAACACTCTGCTGACACTAACATGCCATAGAAGATATCAAAAGGTGGTCATACCATCTACAAGAAAAGTTCTACATTTTGCAAAAGAAATAAAAAATATATATTGTCAAGAAAAAAGACAACAGGCATACATTATGAAGACGCTAGCAGTGCTTATCTCTAGCTAGTTAGATTACTATTACATTAATTTTACTGATCTTATTTTGGCACCTTAAAATGTCTATAATAAACATGTATTATATTTCTAATAATAAAATTAAATTTTGAAATGTATTTTAGAAAAGCATCACCCAATGTTATTCACAAAGCAAACCAAATATATAAAAATAGATACTTGGTTAAACGAAATATTTTCCATACATTTAGTGGAAAATAATGAAGTCAACAAAAACTCTTCAATTAGAGTTTGCATTAACAGGTAATATGGTTCTTTTATGTTAAAAAACAAAAGCAGAACACAAAATTATATAGAGAGAATGTAACAATTATATAAATAAAACAATGCACGGGAAAAAATACACCTACATGTTTAAAAATTTCACCTTTGAGTGGTGGCACTATAGGTCATTAAAAATGTTTTGTTTTGGGTTTATTATTTTAAACAGTTTCTTCTGGGTACTTATCACAAAATTTCTCAAGAAAAGTATTAAACATCTTAATTATTTTTCAATTTTAAAAATAACAGCAATAATAGAAATAATAGTTAACAATTTTGAGCACCTACTACTATTACCACTGCTACCACTACTACTACTATTACTATGATTACTAGTACTATTTCTACTGATCTAATGGTTTTGCATGTATTAGCTCATCTGATCCACATAACAACATGCTAAGTAGGTGCTGTGGTTTGAATGGATGCATCCTTCCAAAGTTTTTACATTGGAACTTAACCCTCAAGGGGATGATATTAAGAGGTGAGGCCTTTGGGAGGTTATTGGGTCATGAAAGCTCTGCCCTCATAGAACAGATTAGTGCCTTTATAAAATCTTTAGAAAGTTAGTCCCCTTTGCCCTTCTATCCTGTCTGCCACGTGAAAACAAAGCATTTGTCACCCCTGGAGGACACAGCACAAAGGCACCATCTTGGAAGCAGTGAATGACCCCTTACCAGACACTGAATCTGCCAGTGCCTTGATCTTGAACTTCCCAGTCTCCAGAACTGTGAGGAAAAAAAATTCTATGATTTATAAATTACTCAGTCTGTGGTACTTTGTTATAGAAGCAGGAGTAGACTAAAGTGGTAGGTATGATTAGTATCTCCATATAGATGAGGAAACTGAAGGACAGAAAGGTAATTTACTCAAGGGTATGCGGTTAGTAGTACTAAGTGTTATAGACAGCATTCAAATTCAGATAGCCTGACTACAAAGCTCATTCTCTGGACCACTAAACCCAACCTCAACCTGTATCTTTACTCCTCCCATAATTTTCTTCTCTTTTCATTTGTCTAGTTTTCTACATATGTAGCTACATCAGCATTAAACTTTTCTACGTAACTATAAAGCCTTCGATATGGGCAAATATATTAGGTAATAAATTAATTCCAATATTTTCTTGGCTACATCCCTCCTGTGGCCTTCCATCCTCCTGCTCACATCTGGACTAACTGCACCCTAGGCCTGTTGTACAGCCATAATCCTAGAACCTATGATCCTGGGAATTCCCTTGGCTTCTCACTTCATTGTAAACTGTTTCCTATATCTCACATTTTCTTGATCTTCTCCCTCTTATTTTGGTGGAGCTCAGTCTCCAATGCCTTCCAAATAAAGAATGCATGATGTTAATTTATTTTAAATCTTGCACATATATTTTCTGAGAACTCATCTTTGATTGATGGTTTGGATTTGTAAGTACAGAAATCCTGCAGAACTTACACAGCATTGCTCCATTGTCTCCTAGTATGGCTAGTAATAAGTCTGTCTAATGCTATTCTGATTCTGATCTTTCCCATGTGACCTGTTTTTTCCTCTATGGAAGCCTTGTGATCTTCTCTTTTATCTCCACCATTCTAAAACATCAAAATTGTATGTCTTCATGTGGGTCTTCTTTCATTCACTGTCCTGGGCTTTCAATGGGCACTTTCAATCTAGAAATTCCTGTCCTTAAGTTATGAAAAATTTTCTTAAAATATTTCTTTGATAATTTCCTCTCTGTCCTTTCTCTAGTGTCTTTCTGGGACTCCTACCAGTCAGATGTTTAGTCTCCTGAATGATCCTCTAAATTTTCTTTTCTTAATATCACTACCATGGTGAATGATCCTCTAAGTTTTTATCTTGTCTCTCCTATATTCCACTTCTTCATCTTTTGTCCTGTTTTCTGGGAGAACTTTTATTTTCAACCATAGTATTCAAACGTCTACTGCTTTGTTACTGTTTCTACTGTTTTTTCTAGGTGTTTTTCTCTGCATTTTTAAGTATGATTTTCTTTTTTCATAAATGCAGTAGTTATCTCTTTGAATACAGGCATACCTTGTTTTATTGTGCTTTGCTTTATTGTGCTTCACAGATACTGTGTTTTTGTTCTTGTTATTGCTATTGTTGTTTTACAAATTGAAGGTTTGTAACAATCCGGCACCAAGCAAGTCTATCAGCGCCATTTTCCAACAGCATATGCTCACTTTGTGTCTGTGTCATATTTTGGTAATTCTCACAATATTTAAAACTTTTCATTAATTTACCTGTTATGGTGATCTGTAATCAGTGACCTTTGATGTTACTATTATAATTGTTTGAGGGTACAATGAATCAAACCCATATAAGAGAGCGAGCTTAATAAATTTTGTGTGTGTTCTCACTGCTCAACTGATTGGCCATTCCCCCATCTCCCTCCCTCTCCACAGGCATCCCTATTCCCTGAGACAAAACAATATGGAAATTAGGTCAATTAATAACCCTACATTGGCTTCTAAGTGTCCAAGAAAAGGAGGAGTTGCATGTCTCTTACTTTAAATCAAAAGCTAGACACAATTAAGCTTAGTGAGGAAGGCATGTTGAAAGCCAAGATAAGTCAAAAACTAAACCTCTTAATGCCAAACAGTTAGCCAAGTTGTGAATGCAAAGGAAAAGTTCTTGAAGGAAATTAAAAATGCTGCTATACTGAACACATGAATGATAAAAAAGCAAAACAGCCTTATTGCTGATATGAAGAAAGTTTTAGTGGTCTAGATAGAAGATCAAACCAGCCACATATTCCCTTAAGCCAAAACCTAACCCAGAATAAGGCCCTAACTCTCTTTAACTATATGAAGGCTGAGAGACATGAGGAAGTTGCAGAAGAAATGTTTGAAGCTAGCAGAGGCTGCTTGATGAGGTTTAAAGAAGGAAGCAGTCTCCACAATATAAAATTACAAGGTAAAGCAGCAAGTGCTGATGGAGAAGCTGCCACAATTTATCTAGAAGATCTAGACAAGACAATTGAAGGTGGCTATAGCACACAACAGATTTTCAACATAGACAAAACAGCCTTTTATTGGAAGAAGATGTCATCTAGGACTTTCCTAGCCAGAGAGGAGAAGTCAATACCTGGTTTCAACGCTTCAAAAGAAGGGCTCAGGTCAGTGGCTTATACCTGTAATTCTAGCACTTCAGGAGACCAAGGCAAGACGATGGCTTGAGCTCAGGTGTTTGAGACTAGCCTGGGCAACACAGCAGGACCCTGTCTCTACAAAAAATTTTAAAAAGCACCCAGGTGTGGTGGTACACACCTGTAGTCCAAGCTATTTGGGAGGCTAGGCAGGTTGATTACTTCAGCCCAGGAAGTTTAGGCTGCAGTGAGCTGTGATTGTGTCACTGTACTCCAGCCTGGGCCACAAACTGAGACTCTGCCTCAAAAAAAAAAAAAAAAAAAAAGAGAGAGAGAGAGAAAGAAAGAGAAGGCTGACTCTTTTGTTTAGGGCTAATGCAGCTGGTGACTTTAAGCCAATACTCACTCACCATTCTGAGAATCCTAAGGCCCTTAGGAATTATCCTAAATCTACTCTGCCTGTGCTCCATAAATGCAACAACAAAGCCTGGATGACAGCATATCTTTTGACAATGTGGTTTACTGAATATTTTCAGCCCGTCATTGAGATCTACTGCTCAGGAAAAAAATATTTCTTTCAAAATATTGCTATTCATTGACAATGCAACTAGTCACCTAAGAGCTCTGATGGAGATGTACAAGATTAATGTTGTTTTCATACTTTCTAACACCACATCCATTTTGCAGCCCACAGACCAAGAAGTAATTTCAACTTCAAGTCTTATTATTTAAAAAATACATTTTGTAAGGCTATTGCTGCCATAGATAGCGATTCCTCTGATGGATCTGGGCAAAGTAAATTGAAAACCTTCGCCCCATCTAGATGCCATTAAGAACATCCATATTCATAAGAGGAAGTCAAAATATCAACACAAATATGAGTTTGGAAGAAGTTGATTTTGACCATCATGGATGGTTTAGGGTTAAAGACTTCAGTGGAGGAAGTCCTGCAGATGTCGTAGAAATAGCAAGATAACTAGAATTAGACATGTAGTCTGAAGATGTGACTGAATGCTACATTTCATGATCAAATCTGGATGGAGGAGGACTCTTTTTTTTTTTGAGACAGAGTCTTGCTCTGTCACCCAGGCTGGAGTGCAGTGGTGCAATCTCAGCTCACTGCAACCTTTGTTTCCTGGGTTCAAGTGATTCTCCTGCCTCAGCCTCCTGAGTAGATGGGACTACAGGTGCCTGCCACCACACCAGGCTAAGTTTTGTATTTTTAGTAGAGACAGGGTTTCACCATGTTGGCCAGGCTGGTCTCGAATTCCTGACCTCAAGTGATTCGCCCTCCTCAGCCTCCCAAAGTGCTGGGATTACAGGCATGAGCCACTGCACCTGGCCGAGTCACTTCTTATGGATGAGCGAAAAAAAGTGTTTTTTGTTTTTTTTTTTTTTTGAGATGGAGTCTCATTCTGTCGCCCAGGGTGGAGTGCAGTGGCACAATCTTGGCTCACTGCAAGGTCTGCCTCCCAGGTTCATGCCATTCTCCTGCCTCAGCCTCCTGAGTAGCCTGAGACTACAGGCACCCGCCACCATGCCCGGCTAATTTTTTTATTTTTAGTAGAGACGGGTTTCACCATTAGCCAGGATGGTTTCGATCTCCTAACCTCGTAATCCACCCACCTCGGCCTCCCAAAGTGCTAGGATTACAGGCGTGAGCCACTGCGCCCAGCCAAAAACAGTGTATTTTTAAGGCAGAATCTACTCCTGGTGAAAATGTTGTGAACACTGTTGAAATAACAACAAAGATTTAAAATAATATAAACTTAGCTGATAAAGCAGTGGTAGAGTTCTAGAGGATTAAGTCCAAATCTGAAAGAAGTTCTGCTATGCGTAAATTGCTATCAAACAGCATCTCATGCTATGGAGAAATCTTTTGTGAAAGTAATCAATGCAGCAAACTTAATTGTTATTTTAAGAAATTGCCACAAATACCCCAACCTTCAGCAACCACAATTCTGATCAGTCAGCAGCCATCAACACTGAGGCAAGACCCCCGAGTGGCAAAAAGATTATAATTTGCTGAAATCTAAGATGATCATTAGCATTTTTAGCAGTAAAGTATTTTTTAATTAGAGTATATACTTTTTTTAGACATAATGCTGTTGCACACTTACTAGACTATAATATAGTGTAAACACAGTATTGGGGTTTTTTTTTAGATTCATGGGGTGCATGTGCATGTATATATATTGTATAATTAAGAGGTTTGGCTTTTACTGAACCCCTCAACCAAATAGTAAATATAGTACCCAGTAAGTAGTTTTTCAACGTTTGTCCCCATCCCTTTCTCCCCTTTTCGAGTCCCTAGTGTCTATTGTTTCTATCATTATGTCCACCATGCGTACCCAATGTTTAGCTTTCACTTATAAGTAAGAACATGCAGTATTTCTTTTTTTGTTTCTGCACTAATTCACTTAGGACAATGGTCTTCAGCTGTATTCACGTTCCTGCAAAAGACATGATTTCATTCTTTTATGACTGCATAGTATTCCATGGTGTATATATGCCACATTTTTAAATCCAGTCCACCATCGATCAGCGCCTAGGTTGAGTCCATGTTTTCGCTATTATGAGTAGTGCTTCATTGAACATATGAGTACAGGTGTCTGAACATAACTTTTATATGAACTGAGAAACCATAAAATGTACGTGACTTGCTTTATTGTGATATTTGCTGTATTGAGGCAGTTTGGAATTGAACTCTCAATCTCTCCAAGGTAGGCCTATATATTATTATAGCTTTGAGCTTTAAAGATTTTCTTCTGTTCCCAAATTTTTCATTGTTTCAACTGAATTCATTTGTTTCTCTGCTCTCTTTCTTTTTGGTTAAACAGCTGATCGTCCTTGGCTCTCCATTGTTGTTGACAGTGAAGCATTACGACATTCCTGGAAGCTCTGTGAAGAACAGCAGGGTTGTGGATGGGTGGGCGTCTCTAGAGGGAGGCAGAAATTTCATTAGAAGGATCCTAAATGTCAACATCCACAGATTCTTTACCATGGATTGATCACTTTGCCCAGAGAGTGAACCTCCAATCTCCTGGTTGGACAGCATAAACTTGGTGTCAATGTTCAGAGAGCAACCTGGGGATGGGAACTAAGGATCTCTGATTCAACATATAGAAATCAGTACACCCTCCTGTTTTCAGTATATCACTTGCCCTCAGCTGACTATGCCCACAATCCAGAAACGTGGGTTGTTTCTCCAGAAAGAGAACCTCCTACTTCTGCCAGGAAAGGAAGAAGCATATCCCTGGTTACTGAAACTTAGCTGGGCTTCTAACTGCTCCTTAGGAAAATTCAAGCACTAGAGGCAACACAGTATATGTTCTATATTCCATTGATTAAAATTCTTTTTCTGACATTTTCATTTCACATTATAAGCTTTATGCTTTTCAGGCCTGCTTTTTTTCTACTTAGTGGAAGTGCAATAGTTAGCTTTAACACTACAGGCCCTTCCAACTACTGGTGAAAGGAAGGCCATCAAGATGAAAAGAAAACATCCTTTCTTTTAGATCATCAGGAAAGCAAGTACTAATCTATGTAACAGAACAGTCTTTGTGAACATTATTTCCAACAGTAGACCCTTTCCCACAATTCAGACATGAAAATATGTTGTTATGTCCTATGAAGGTAAGTATAACTTCTAAAAAGTCTGTAATTCTGTTTGTTTCCTTAATAATCTGTTATCCTATTAAGAATATTTAAACAGACATCTCTGTTTGCTATAAAGCATAAATAACCATTAAGCCAAAAAAGTAGACTTGGCACTTCGCTTTTCTTCCATATGTTTATAGATGTGAAACAAAATAAAACAAAACTATGACTGTCAGGTTTCCCATTTTAAAACAAAGTTTTAGAGTTTAATATCTTACAAAACTAAGATAACCTTCTCTTCTCAGACCTATACCACCCAGTTTTCTGAGGTATCTCATCACCTCTATTTCTAGAACTTTTCCCAAGTGCTACTTCTTGTTGAAATCAGAAGTCAGCTTTTTCCACTCTGGTAAGTCAGTTACCACTTGTCCATTCTTCTTGTATCTTCCAAAATTTTATTGATGTCTCCCATCTGTTTTATTCTTGTTAGTTTATTATACCCTCACTATCATTATAATGGAGCAAAGATATATGCAAGAGTTCACTCTGCTATACCTAGCCAGAAAATGTGGGTCATTTTTAAATGTTTGTTTTTCTATCATGAGCACATAATCGTTATGATGGAAAATTACTGGATTAAACCTGAGCCAGGGAAATTTAAGTAATGGGGGCATGAAACAGGCACCAAAGAGTAGAAAATTATGTCTCACCATTTATCTCAAGACTCCAGCAGTAAGTCCTTAAAAGGTGACCTTTCCACTCTCTCACATTTCAGTCTATTCCATTAGCTGTCATTTCCTGACCTAGCTTTCCATTCCAAGGGCCATTTCCAGCAAATATCAGCCAACTTACAATTATTTCTGATGAGCTAATAGTAATCACACCTAGACAAACTATTTTATTTTGATTCCACTAAAATGTCTTTGTGTTTTCACAATACCAGAATGCTACAATAAATAATGGAATGGGCTTTTTTCCTTATTATAACAGAACTAAATAGTCAGATGAGAGTTGTCATTTTTAAAACTGTCATCTTGAGATCTTCTTCATTTATGTCAATGATGCTGCCATAGTTCAAAACTTAATTAAAGCTTATCTTTTGGAATTAGCTTCAGAGACAATGTATGTGACATACAAGAAAAAACAGTTTCCTTAATTCCTAACCATATTTTTGTGATTAACAAATAATTAGTCAGGCTAAACACTTAAACTAGTGAAAAGATGATCCTGAAGAGCTGTTGGCTACTTCTAAAACTCAAATATACCCTATTGATGTTATTCCATCATTAAAAAGATTCAAAAATGTGGCCAGGCATGGTGGCTCATGCCTGTAATCCTAGAACTTTGGGAGGCCAATACAGGAGGATTGCTTGAGCCCAGGAGTTCAAAACCAGCCTGGACAACATAGCGAGACCCTGTCTTAAGAAAAAAAAAAAAAGATTCAATAATGTGCTGTAGACATTAAAAGCAAATCCTACCTGCCCTACCCTCAATCTAACATTGGTTTGAGCAATACAGCTTTTATTGTAATAAATGCAATGTCCTCCTAGGGTAATAACTTTAAAGGGATAACTCACTTGGCTGTATAAGTTTTGAAAGGCCTGTTAAAAATTCCCATTGCCTCATAATCACTCCTAAAACTGGCTTAAATAAATAATAAATGGAAAGAAAACAAATCAAGACCTTGACACGATGACCTAACTTGAGTTAGTTTCTATATTTTCAGAGCTAATAATCATATCAAAACTACAAACATAAAAGTTAAATATGCTTTGCTCTCCTGCCAGATTTTACAAAACTGTTTCTAGGACAACCTTTTAGGAGTGAATTTTCTTGTGGAAAATTACTAAATTTTTTGCAACATCTGAAAACATGCAAAAGAAGATAAGATGGAAAAGGAGAAAACATCATATATATTATCAATTGTGAATGTCTATATGCCAGACACAGAGGATTGATTATCTAAGGCCTTTGGATGTGGCACCTCTTTTCACAATTATCTGATGAACCATTGTATTCCTCAAACTAAATTCAGCCGACAGCCCAGCAAAAGGAAAAACAGTGTCTTCATTGCTGCTTTTCAGCCATAAATTTCAAATTATGTTTTTATAAAAGAGAAATCAACGCATAATGGTAAGGCTTCATGTTAAGCTACTGAGGAACAGAAGAGATCCTGAAACAAAATAATCTCTACAGATGCATCCAAGTGAAAAGAATCCAAGATATATCTACATCACTGACATATTCTTCTCATGGCTCTCTCAACTTTTTGCTCTAATTCTAGATTTCAGTATTAAATGAATTAGGCATCTGTGGGGAATATTTTAATAAAAATTAAGCATTGTCCTTTTCTATGAAGTAAAGAGGATGGAGAAGAAAAAAAGAACCTATAAATATTCTATGCAGAGTACCAAGAAGTCCAAAACTATGAGTTAATAGGGACTCCATAAACATTTTTAAAATTGCAATGAAATTAAATGGAAGCAGGAACTAGGTATTGCACAGGACTAACAGAATATTTCCCAAAATGCCTGAGAATAATCTGAGGTTTTTCTTTTGTGCAGATTCCTGAGACATGAATAATGGTATCACAGCTGTAAAAGTCTTGGCTGATGATTGGCAATCCAAAATAACAAGCAAAACATCTGTCATGATAGGGGTTGAAGATAAGAAAACTTGGTTACCACAGTTCAAGGAGAGATAGCCAAAAGATGTCGAGATGAACACCAAAACACACAGAAGAGGTATGTACAATTAAAAGGGCACATAAATAAATAAACGAAAAGCGTTATGAAAGGTGTGTTAGGGAGCCTCTCCCTCGAGTGACTGGATTTCAGGTAGGGAAACTGGCACTGGCATAACTTTTCTGGATTCTTACCCTCCCTATGGAGAAGGACCGAGTTATCTTCACACCATGGTCCACATTTCTCAACTAGGTGCGGTTAATATTTTTAAAGTTTGTAAACAGTGAAGACTCTCTCTTTTCTTTTCCTCTCTGCCCCAGATCAATGTGAATAGAGATTATGAGAATCTGTCTGCTCTACAGACCGAGATCGTTCCTAAATATCAATGTCTAGACTGTAAAAAAGGAAACGGGGATGGGAGCACTAAGAGCATCATTTGGCCTTCACAGTCAAGGCACAATGCTTTTCACAGGTCCCCCAGCAAAAAGAAAGAAAAAAAAAGCGATTTTTTTTTTTGAGATGAGTTCTAGTTTCGTGACCCAGGCTGATCTCTACTTCCTGACCCCAAGAAACCCTGTCACCTTGGTCTCCTGAAATGCTGGGATTACAGACATGAGCCACTGCACCCAGCCAGAACAGTGATTCTTTGCTTTCAGCTTCCTTCCCTCTCAGTCTTTTCCAAACTTGGGCAGGTCTAGGGAGCAAGGTCCTGAGAACAAAGGATAGTTGAGCAAGAAGGAAAATGGGAAGAAACAAAAGATATATATATATATATCTGATATTTGTTGAGTTTGAAGAAACAGCAGCATGTTCCATTATAAAACCCCTGTACATTAAGGACCGTAATACTGGGGTATTGATTTGAACCCAGGGAGAAAAAAGTCACAGGCAAGTAAAAAACTACTGACTTTAATTAGTTTGTTTTTTTTCTTAAAGAAGTTTAAAACAACGAATTGTTGAATTTTGAATTTAAAACATTAAAATTTAAAAGTCTACTTTTCACTAATAAAGTAAACATATAAAATGATCACTAAGGCCCTATCTAATTCTAAAATTCTGACTGGATTTAAGTTATCTTATCCAAAAACATATTTACTGAGCCTCTACTACATGTTGACATAGGAAAAGTGTTTTGGACAAAGAGATGAAAATGGCGAAAGAATGTACAAAGAACCCACGAACACAATTCACAGTGATGAGCACCATAATAGAAGCGTGCAGGGGAAACCGACCATGTGTGCAGAGGAATCACACACACACACACACACACACACACACACACACACACACACAGGAGGGCACCTAATCAGGCCTGGAAAGTTCTAGGGGAAGGGAACAGAATGGTGATTATGGAGCAAGGATGTTTCTAAGATGAATGTATGATAGATCTGAGTCTTGAAGGAAAACAGACTGGTGGGATGGAGGGAGCTGTGGTGGAACAGGCACATAATAGGCAGAGCTTTCTAATAATATAATAACAACAGAAAAACTGAGAGAAGTATGGGAGAACATCACCTCAGGGCCCTACGGGGAAGCCAAAAACAGCTAGAGCAATGTTGCATGTGATGGAAACAGGGTATGAGAAAGGAACTTTCATATGTTTCTGGTGAGAATATAAATTATGTATTCCCTTTGACTCAGCAATTTCATTTCTGGAATTTATCCTATAGATATAATCCTATATGTGTAATATAATACACATATAAAAACATGTGTACATGACATCACAGCACCACTTGTTTTTGTTTTTGAGATGGAGTCTCGCTCTGTCGCTCAGGCTGAAGTGCAGTAGCATGATCTTGGCTCTCTGCAACCTTCACCTCCCTGGTTCAAGTGATTCTCCTGCCTCAGCCTCCCGAGTAGCTGGAATTACAGGCGCATGCTACCATGCCTGGCTAATTTTTTGTATTTTTAATAGAGATCGGGTTTCGCCATGTTGGCCAGGCTGATCTTGAACTCCTGACCTCAGGTGATCTGCCCGCCTCAGCCTCCCAAAGTGCTGCGATTACAGGCATAAACCACCATGCCCAGCCCACAGCACCATTTGTAATAATAAAAAACTGTAAACAAACTTAATGAGCCTTAACAGAGGAATATTTAGTAAATTATGGTAAATCCATCAAATGGTATATACTATGTAGCCCTTAAAAAGAATGAAACATTTCTACATGTATTAGTATGGAATTAGCTCTAAGATATTTTGCTAAGTGAAGATATCTTTTTTACTTGGTTTCTTTCTTTCTTTCTTTCTTTCTTTCTTTCTTTCTTTCTTTCTTTCTTTCTTTCTTTCCTTCCTTCCTTCCTTTCCTCCTTCCTTCTTTCTTTCTTTCTTTTTTGAGTTATCCTGAAATCTCTAAGAATGCCTCTGAGCATTTCCTCTTCTCTTTAAGTCTTTTTATTATTATTATTTTGAGAGAGAGATACTTGCTCTGTTCCCCTGGCTAGAGTGCAGTGGTGCAATCATGGCTTGCTGCAGCCTCAAACTCCCAGGCTCAAGTGACCCTCCCACCTCGGCCTCCCAAGTAGCTGGGACTACAGGCATGCATACTATGATGCCCAGCTAAATTTTTTTTTTTTTAGCGGAGAGGGTGTCTTGCTATGTTGCCCAAGCTGGTCTCCAACTCTTGGCTTTTGCTAAGAGATATCAGTAGGATGTACCTAATATGCCAACATCTGCATACAAAAAATACAATTATGTGTGTGTCTGTAAGTATGTGTGTCTGTGTGTCTGTGTATATTCACATATACATGCATACATGAATACATGGGCTCCCTCAAGAAGGAGACTGACAATAAATGCAATAATAGATATTGCTCAAAGGGGGAACTGGATAACTGGAGGACAGAGATGTAAAGGAAACTTTTTAAAATTCTGTACCTATACCCATATAATATTTTCAAAAAAATAAATACATTTAACCCATAATATACATTTAACAATGAAGTAAAACATAAAAGTCCATGCTGAACTTTTTTAACTGAAGAAAGATTCAACATGAATGATGGCAGCCGAGAAGGTATTTGAAGAGAGACAGTGTTTAGTGAAAAAGGCCTGAAAGTACCAACACAAGTGAAGAGCAATAGAATTTAAGGCAAACAGGATAGCTGACCGGGGAAGGACATGGGAAAGTTAACTTTTTTTCTCAGTCAACCACAAAGAAAATAAATGTCACATGGGTGTGTGGAAGGAACAATAGAGATAAACAAGGAAACTATCACGTGCAGCTTCAATCTGTTTGGAAAAACAGCCAAAAATTATCACAAATTTTGTGATATGTGTACTGTGTACTTTGATTTTAGGTTATGTTTGCTAAAGATTCTAAAAGTATGCAAAATATGATAATCTAATCAAATAGCAGCATCTGGGAACTTTTTTTTTTTTCAGACGCAGTTTCGCTCTGTCACCCAGGATGGAGTGCAGTGGCGTGATCTCCGCTGACTGCAAGTTACGCCTCCCGGGTTCTCCTGCCTCTGCCTCCCTGGTAGCTGGGACTACAGGTGCCCGCCACCACGCCAGGCTAATTTTTTTTTTTTTTTTTTGCATTTTTAGTAGAGACGGGGTTTCACCTTGTTAGCCAGGATGGTCTCGATCTCCTGACCTCATGATCTGCCCGACTCGGTCTCCCAAAGTGCTGGGATTACAGGCGTGAGCCACCGCGTCCGGCCGGGAATTTTTTTTTTATGTGCTAAAGCCCGAGGTCTTTGTTTTCTTCATGGTACTCAACTATCTTCCAATGTTTACAAAGTGAAGTGGATAGCAGGGACACCCCAAGTGGTGGGCAGTAAACGGCCCATGGTGGATGAGTGAAACAAACACATCAAAGTTGCAACAAATGATATATTTGGATAAATTCAATTAGCAAACAGCTTTAAGCAGTCTGGCAAGTTAAACCCAGCCTAAACCCATATTCTGAATTTGGAGGGATATTTAAGGATGCCCTGTTGAAAGGCAAAGGTAAAAATACAAAAAATAATTTTACCAAAATAAAAAGAACAAAATAACTTCATCTCATAACTCCTACTCAGTGGGCACAATGGGTCTAGTATAAGACCCTTTCAATAGTCAATATGAAATGATAATATAAAAAGGCTAAGTCAAAGGCCAAGACTCTATAAAACTTGTTAAGAAATAGCAAAAAATGGACTACTGAAAAACCACATTCTTTTTTTTTTTATTTATTATTATACTTTAAGTTCTGGGAAACATGTGCACAATGTGCAGGTTTGTTACATATGTATACGTGTGCCATGTTGGTGTGCTGCACCCACTAACTCGTCATTTACATTAGGTATATCTCCTAATGCTATCCCTCCCTCCTCCCCCCACCCCACAACAGGCCCCGGTGTGTGGTGTTCCCCACCCTGTGTCCATATGTTCTCATTATTCAATTCCCACCTATGAGTGAGAACATGCGGTGTCTGGTTTTCTGTCCTTGTGATAGTTTGCTCAGAATGATGGTTTCCAGCTTCATCCATGTCCCTACAAATGACATGAACTCATCATTTTTTATGGCTGCATAGTATTCCATGGTGTATATGTGCCACATTTTCTTAATCCAGTCTATCACTGATGGACATTTAGGTTGGTTCCAAGTCTTTGCTATTGTGAATAGTGCCGCAATAAACATACATGTGCATGTGTCTTTATAGCAGCATGATTTATAATCCTTTGGGTATATATCCAGTAATGGGATGGCTGGGTCAAATGGTATTTCTAGTTCTAGATCCTTGAGGAATTGCCACACTGTCTTCCACAGTGGTTGAACTAGTTTACAATCCCACCAACGTGTAAAAGTGTTCCTATTTCTCCACATCCTCTCCATCACCTGTTGTTTCCTGACTTTTTAATGATCGCCATTCAAGATGGATTAAAGACTTAAATGTCAGACCTAAAACCATAAAAACCCTAGAAGAAAACCTAGGCAATACCATTCAGGACATAGGCATGGTCAAGGACTTCATGTCTAAAACACCAAAAGCAATGGCAACAAAAGCCAAAATTGACAAATGGAATCTAATTAAACTAAAGAGCTTCTGCACAGCAAAAGAAATTACCATCAGAGTGAACAGGCAACCTACAGAATGGGAGAAAATTTTTGCAATCTACCCATCTGATAAAGGGCTAATATCCAGAATCTACAAAGAACTTAAACAAATTTACAAGAAAAAAACAAACAACCCCATCAAAAAGTGGGTGAAGGATATGAACTGACACTTCTCAAAAGAAGACATTTATGCAGCCAACAGACGCATGAAAAAATGCTCATCATCACTGGCCATCAGAGAATGCAAATCAAAGAAAAATCAGGTAAGTTAAGGTCTTTTCTAGCTCTGACTTCAGTGACTACAAACCATTCAATAATATTTTTTAATTTCTTTCTTTTTTTTTTTTTTTTTGAGTTATCCTGAAATCACTAAGACTGACTCTGGGCATTTTCTCATTTTCTCTGGTATAATTCTTTTAATTCCTTTTTTTGTTTTTTTGAGACAGGGTCTCACTCTGACACCCGGGCTGGAGTGCAGTGCAGTAGCACAATCATGGCTCACTGCAGCCTCAAACTCCTGGGCTCAAGTGATCCTACTGCCTCAGTTTTCTGAGGAGCTGGGACTACAGGCATGCACCTTATGATGCCCAGGTTTTTTTTTTTTTTTTTTTTTTTAGTAGAGATGGAGGCTTGCTATGCTGCCCAAGCTGTTCTCGAACTCTTGGCTTCAAGTTATCTTCCTGCCTTGGCCTCCCAATGTGCTTGGATTACATGTGTGAGCCACTACACCTGGCCTTCCTGTTTAATTCTTTATAAATCTTTCAAAAATTTACATTATATTTATTAAACAAGAAAGCATCTTGAGGTTAGAGTTTTTAAACAAAATCAAAATAAAAACCATGTTCTGTATCTGTACTTTGATTTCTGAGTTGACATTTTCTTGTATTTTTTACAAAGTAACATTACTAATTCTTCTGAGAGCACTTCATATTTCAAAGTTTCTGTTATGAAAAGTATTTTATATAAAATAATATATTTCATCAATTTAAAATAACATCTGCTGACCAAAAATAAAAAAGAATCTATATACCATTCACTAACTCTAACCTTAGATTTCTCAATTTATGATCAAGGTAAAAATCATCCCTTTCACCCCAAACTATAGTTATCCAAATGACACATGAAATAATGTACACGGTAGGCCGGGTGCACTTGCTCACGTCTGTAATCCCAGCACTTTGGGAGGCCAAGGCGGGCAGATACCTGAGGTTGGGAGTTCAAGACCAGCCTGACCAACATGGAGAAACCCTGTCTCTACTAAAAATGCAAAATTAGCCGGGCGTGGTGGTGCATGCCTGTAATCCCAGCTACTCGGGAGGCTGAGGCAGGAGAATTGCTTGAATCCGGGAAGCGGAGGTTGCAGTGAGCCAAGATTGTGCCACTGCACTCCAGCCTGGGCAACAAGAGTAAAAGAGTGAAACTCCATCTCAAAAACAAACAAACAAACAAAAAACAAAAAACAGAAAAGAAAAAAAAAGAAACAGTGTACAGGGTAAAGTTCTATTCCAAATGAGAAAAGATGTTAGACTCTGGACAAGTTATTTACCCTACATGGACTTCAATTTGAGATAAGAAATATTCTAACTCCCCATTTTACAAGTGAGAAAAGTGAGACTCAGAGATGTTAGGGATTTCCCAAGAGCTTGAAATCTGCTAGTTAGCAGTCATTAAAGCCTCAGGTGGAGGCCTCTTCTGAGAACAACCAGCAGGCCATTCTGAAAAATAAAGATGGAGCCTTACTTCACACTAACACCTATATAAATTCTAAGTGGGTTAAATGATCAATTATTTAAAATAAAGTAATAAAAGTCATGGGAGAAAATTTGGGTGACTAATTCCTCAATGAGAAGGGCCTTTCTAAAACCAAAGCCAAAACTGAAAATAAAACATCCCTATAAATTTGGCCACATTTTTAGATAAAAATCTAAATAATCCCTCTGACAAAACACACTAAACTCAGTTAATGATAAATGACATACTGGGAGGTAGGGAGAGAAAAGGGAATTATCTGTAGAATGTAGAGGGTAGCCATAAAATCTGGAAACAGATATTATTTGATCATGAATTATAATATCTATAAACCATTTATTATATATTTTCCTGTGTTTCTAGACTTAGCGACCACCCTGTATATAAAAAATAGTTGATACTATTAATGTATAAATTAATAAGAAAAGGTGAACATTCTAGTAGAAAATGGAAATGGTATATTAGGAAGCAATTCATAAAATGCCTACAAATGGCCAATATACATTTCAAAACATATGTTCAATCTTTCCAGAATCAAAGAATATTGAAAGATGAAATTTTTTACCTAACATAAACAAGTATTTTAAAAGATTAATAAAAATTTAGGAACACAGGTTAATCTTGAGTGAATACATTGGTATAGACTTTATAGAAGGCAGTTTGACAATATGCAGTATAAATAGAGGATATATTTCTAGTCACCAAAATGCCTCTCCTAAGAAAAGGTCCAAAGAAAATAATTGGCCCAGAATAGTAAAATATGTGAAGGATATTCATATAATAACAGCAAAATACTAGAAACAATCTAACTATCCACTAAGAAGTTAATTGTTAAATAAATTACAAAACAATCATACACTGGCATACTATGTAACTATTAAAAATACCATAGGGATCTACTTATGAAACGTAAAAATTTTTATAAAATAAACAGTGAAAAAAGTAGGCTGCCGATCAGCACAAATATTATCAGATTCAATAATATAACAGGGAAAATATTTATTTCAAAAGTTGTGGAAGTCTAGCAACAGGGCAGGACATAAGAAGAAAACATGGCCAGAGAGGTATTCCAGTGGCAGAGAAGTTCAAGAAACTTCCATTTTTACTTTTATTTCACTTCTTTTTTATTGCTAATTTTATATTTTCATCTTTTTAAAAAATGTATTTCACTTTTCTTATATATATGTATATGTGAATAATTTTATTTAAATGTATATACATCTGATGCATTTATTTATTTGATCCATTTACTTATAAATTCAGTGCCCTGCATACGTGTAATCTAATCATGGCACTTTAAAAATAAATTTTTGTGAAAGATCCCGCTAAAATAAATAACAACGGAAATTTGAATGTATCTCAGTGTATTACAAACTCATATAACTTAATCAAATTGTTAACAATTAAAATAATTAGTAGTATCTTCAATGTTCAGAATACATACAGTTCATGGTACATAACAAAAAATCATTTTTTAATAAAAGACAAAAAAATCCAAAACATGCCTGTGTGCTCAATTTTTAGAAATATGTAAAAATTTAGAGAGCACTTGACTGCATGGAATTTTGAGTCTTATTAACAAAACAAGAAAATACAAAAATCAAATCCCAATGTATCATTGAGAGTCACAATAAACAGAACTGACAGTAGACACACAGACTCCATGAAAAGAAAAGATCTTGGTGAATTAGAACAGTCAAATCAGGATTCATGAAGACTTAATTGCTGGAAGATAGATTAAATGTCCATGGTTTGTAAAGAGGCATAGAGGAACATTTCAAATGAAAAGAATAACAACAGCAAAGCTGTGGCAGGGAAAAAACTACAGAGGTAGAGAAAAGATAAGCCTGCCTGAGAGTTTAAGTTGAGGAAATAATACCACCAGCTAGCATTTATGGTGTGCCAGGAACTGTACTAGGTATTTTAAATGCATCCATAGATCACAGAAATAAACAGCCAATTGGGAAGGTAGTTATAAATATGATCTCATTTGGTAGGCTAGGAAATAGATGCCTGAAGACAAATGGCAAGCCCAAGGAGGTACACAAGTGGCCAGTGAAAGGAACAAGCACCAAGTTCCACAGCTGGTGAATGATTACACCAAGATGTATTCCCACGTAGGTCTAATTCCTGAGTCTACCATCTGAACAACCACATTCCACTATTAATGAAAAAGAGTAAAACTAAGTTGCCCATGATTTTATATTGTATCAACAAAGTGGCCAGTGCACATTAAAGAACTATTCAAGATGAAAGTCCTATAAAAATTAACCTAACTGTAATAGTGTTGGAAAACTGGATAACCACATGCAAAACAATAAAATCAGACTCTGAAATCATGACATATATAAAAAACACTCAAAATAGGCTAAAGACTTAAACACAGACCTGAAGCTATAAAACTTTTGGAAGAAAACATAGGGTAAAAGCTTCCTGATATTGCTCTGGGCAATAATTGTTTTGGCTATAACCCCCAAAACACAGGCAACAGAAGCAAAAATAAACAAATAGCATAATACCAAACTACAAAGCTTCTGCACAGGAACAATCAACAGAATGAAGAGAAAACCTACAAAATGGGGGCAAATATTTCTGAAACAAACATCTGATAAGGTGTTAACATCCAAAATATATGAGGAACTCAAAAAACTCAATAACAAGAAAACAAATAACATGATGGAAAAAATAGGCAAAGGATCTGAATAGACATTTTTACAAAGAAGATATACAAATGGACAACAGGTAAATGAAAAAATACTCAACATCATTAATAATCAGGGAAATGCAAAGTGAAACCACAATGAGATATCACCTCACACAAGTAAGAATGGCTTTTATCAAAAAATAACAAAAAGATAGCAAGGGCTGGTGAGGATGTAGAGAAAAAGGAACTCTCACACACTGTTGATGGGAATATAAATTAGTACAGCCATTAGGAAAAACAATCTGGAGGTTTCTCCAAGAATTAAAAATAGAACTATGATATGATCCAGCACTCCCCCTTCTGGGTATGCATCCAAAGAAAATGAAATCAGTATGTCAAAGAGATATCTGCACTCCCATGTTTATTACAGCACTATTCGCAATACCTAAGATATGGGGTCAAACTAAGTATCTATGGATGAATGAATGGATAAAGAAAACAGGGTGACATACACACACACACACACACACACACACACACACACACACACACACAATAGAATACGACTCAGCCTTAAAATGAAGGAAATCCTGTCATTTGCAACAACACGAATGAACCTGGAGGACATTATAAATGAAATAAGCCAGGCACAGAAAGACAAATACTACATGATCTCATTTACATGTGGAATCTAAAAAAGTTGAACTCACGAAAGAGAAAGTATAATGATGGTGCCAGACTCTGGAGGAAGTGAGGAGGGTGTACAGAGAGACACTGGTTAAAAGGTACAAAAGTCCAATTATACTGGGGCAATAAGTTCTGGAGATCTATTGCACACTGTGGTAACTACAGTTAGTAATGTATTATATACTTGGAAATGGTGAAATGTTCTCACCATAAAAACATGAAAAGTACGTGAGGTGACAGATAAAGTAATTCACTTGATGTAATCATTTCACAGTATGTACATACATCAAAACATCATGCATACCATAAATATACACAATTTTTTTCAATCATATCTTAATAAAGCTGGGTGGGAAAGCAACAAGAAAAAAAAAATAACCTAACTGCAAGACATAGAAAGAATTAACAAAGGAGATTCATGGTTGAAATGTCTCTATTAGGCCTGGTGCGGTGGCTCAAGCCTATAATCCCAGCATTTTGGGAGACTGAGGTGGACAGATTGCCTGAAGTCAGGAGTTTGAGACCAGCCTGGCCAACATGGTGAAACCCTGTCTCTACTAAAAATACAAAAATTAGCCCGGTGTGGTGGCAGGTGCCTGTAATCCCAGGTACTCCGGAGGCTGAGGCAGGAGAGTCGCCTGAACCCGGGAGGCGGAGGTTGCAGTGAGCTGAGATCACGCCATTGTACTCCAGCCTGGGCAACAAGAGCGAGAGTTTGTCTCAAGAAAAAAAGGCCGGGTGCAGTGGCTCAAACCTGTAATCCCAGCACTTTGGGAGGCCGAGGTGGGCGGATCGCCTGAGGTCAAGAGTTCCAAACCAGCCTGGCCAACATGGTGAAACCCCGTCTCTACTAAAAATACAAAAATTAGCCAGGTGTGGTGGCAGGTGCCTCAATCCCAGGTACTTGGGAGGCTGAGGCAGGAGAATCACTTGAACCCAGGAGGCAGAGGTTGCAGTGAGCCGAGATCGCGCCACTGCACTCCAGCCTAACTGACAAGACCAAGACTTCCTCTCAAAAAAAAAGGCCAGGCACCTGTAATCCCAGCACTTTGGGAGACCGAGGCGGGTGGATCATGAGGTCAGGAGATCGAGACCATCCTGGCTAACACAATGAAACCCTGTCTCTACTAAATATACAAAAAATTAGCCAGGCATGGTGGCACACACCTGTAGTCCCGGCTACTCAGGAGGCTGAGGCAGGAGAATTGATTGAACCCGGGAAGGGGAGGTTGCAGTGAGCCGAGACCGCGCCACTGCACTCCAGCCTGGGAGACAGAGTGAGACTCCATCTCAAAAACAAACAAAAAGTCTCCATTATATGAATTTAATAAATTTCTCCAAATCGAGGAGCTTTTAGTTGAAAATTCCACGTATACATCCATCTGCATGTTATCATTATGGAACCACATAACAGAGCAGATAACATAGCAGTTCCTGAGCACTCTAAAGACATCATCATCATAATCATAGATGATATGATGCAGAATCTATTATCCAAAAGGGAAGAGTAACTTTTAAGTTAATTTTAAACCACTTTCTTCAAATAATTGAATTATCAATAGCTTAGCTAAGAGTGGAACTGCAATGTAATATTTGAGAGCAGTCAAGGGCTATTATTTGACTACAATTTTGAAAATCATTTTAAAAATCTACTTTTTAATAACTGACATATTGTTTGGCTTCCCTATTTTAATTTCAAGAACAAGTACTTCTCTTTGGATTTAATGTATGCCATACTGTAGCAATGAGAAGAATAGTTGATTTGATTTATATAACACACATTTATAAAAACAGATGAAGTATCTTTGATGCTAAAAATGGAAATTATTTTCCCTAGGATCTCTTGTATTTTTAAATGGCATGCACACTGATTAAAAACTCTCCACAATTTACATCCACATATGGACTTGTGTGGATTTGCATGGATGTATCTGAAATAAATAATGTAAATGCTCTTTATTTTGTCTATACCTTTACTCAGCTTTTTCACTGATTCAAATTGGAAATAAATATAAATTTTTAAGTATACATTTTCTTCTCTTTTTTTTTAAGAGATGGAGTCTCACTATCCAGGCTTGCCCATGTTGGAGGGCACTCCACAATCGTAACATACTAGAACCTCTAACTCCTGGGCTTAAGTGATCCCCCAGCTTCCCAACTAGCTGGGACTACATGCGCATGCCACTGAGACTGGCTAGCATACATTTTCTATAATATGGAATGGCATAAATCTTACCCTGAAAAGTAGAATATTCTTTTTTTTTTTTTTTTTGATACTGAGCCTCGCTCAGTCACCCAGGCTGGAGTGCAGTGGCGCGATCTAGGCTCACTGCAAGCTCTGCCACCCAGGTTTACACCATTCTCCTGCCTCAGCCTCCCGAGTAGCTGGGACTACAGGTGCCCGCCACCACGCCGGGCTAATTTTTTGTATTTTTAGTAGAGACGGGGTTTCATCGTGTTAGCCAGGATGGTCTCGATCTCCTGACCTCATGATCTGCCCATCTCGGCCTCCCAAAGTATAGAATATTCTTTATCCATGTGTTCATTTATCTGTACTAATATATACAGTTAATAAAATAATAAACAGAATCATTATTATTACTTTTCCAACAGTCACTTCCCTGAGATCTATGTTTCAAAGAAGAAACAGCAATATTGTTTGAAGCTGCAGATTTGAAATGGGCAGCTAGCATCAAACCCTCAAAGAACAGAGAAAATAGGTAAGCTAATTGAAAGGTCACCATTGCGCAAGGAAGTTTGTGTCATCCACCTTCTTGCTACCAGAAGCAACTTTTTCTTCTTTTACAGCTATGGTGTATTTCTTTCCTTAGAAGGCTATTAATATATTCAAATTTTGATCTGGTATGCCAAGGAAATAGGAAGAAATATCAATGAATGAACAAGACAATCAGGACACCTTGAGATTAGGTTAGAAGCACATTAAGTCACACTCAAGAACAAGATATTATATTGTGGATTCCTAGCTATCATCGAGTCTCCCTTAATCAAGTGCAAAATGTCAGCCTGACCTGAACAAGTTCAGGAAAGACTTGAATTGGAGGATGAACATAATTACTAACTGAGCCACAAATCTATTTTTTTTCCTAAATGAAGAGAAATGCTAAGTCAATGGAGAGAAATGAAGACTGAATGTGCATGTGAGTAAAGGTAAAAATATTAATTTCCAATTTCATTTCAAACTTCAAATCAAGTATAAAGCTAAAGGCTGTATAGCAGAGTAATCTATGAATAAATATACAAAAGATTGTTGCATGTAATGATCTCAATAGCTATAAGCAGCTCCAAATTAAACAGGCAAACAAAACAGTTAAGTCTTTAAGTGTCAGTATTTAGTTTCATACCAGCTATATACCAGATCAACATAATCCACCAATTTGAAAATGAAACCAAAGTTCACTTCTCACATTTTTCCTCCCTACAAGATGCTCTAGCTAACACACCATATTTGGAAAATTTATAAATTTTCAAACCCTCTGCAAAATGGAAGTAAACTTGAATCTTTCTTATGGCCTACTAAATAAACAATCAAAAACTGGCAATAGATTCTGATGTATTCAAAATCAATGGAAAACAGTGAGAAAGCCCTCCCCTGAAGATAAACTTTCTTCTTAGATTGGAGAAATGATTTAGACAGTACAGCAAACAATACAGTATAGATATGACTCAAAGAAAAGCTCTATCATCAATTTTAGCAATACCAGCAGAGAACAATTAACAACAAATCTCTATATTTACATAGAAACAGGTGCTATTTATAAATACATTTTAAGAAACCAGAGAAAAACACTTTTCTCTCTATTCAAATAAGAAATCTACATTTTTATTTTGTTTCTCAACAGATCTGTTTCTAAGAAAAATTGCATTTCAAAATGTGGCTTGGCTCACACACATACACACAAAGGCAACTTAAAATAAAGGGAATGCTATTCCTTCAAAGGTCAGAGGATGAAAGCCATAATTTGATTATTCACCAGAAGCAATTATCCTTATCTGGGAAGACAGAGGAAGGCAGTCACTTTACATTACACTTTACCTGGGCTAGGGAAAAAAGCATGTTAAATTGTCCAGAATTTTATAACAAAGGATAAGGGCAAAAGTACTGGCGTGTATCTCTCATTAAAAACATGATATTTGCAAAATTAATCTTAAATTTCACATTCAAATATAGTTGAGTTGTGGGAAATGTTTACAAAGAGGTAACAAAGACAGATTTAAGATAAAATGAATGTATAGATATAGATGAGTATATTAAAACATTTTTAGGTATTTTTATATATATAAAATATATATGGATGTGTAATTAGTATAGTTTTCCACAAACATGCACATACTAATGTAAAACTCCAAGCTAGCATTCCATTGGCACCATCTATGTTAGTATAACTATTTTAACTTCCGCAAATAATTAATGATGGCACTCACTACCATTCTTGATTCCATCTGTCCTGTGGTAAGTAGAATTCTAAGATAGCCCCCAAGATTCCCACCCCAAGGTGTATACCCCCTGCACAATTCCTTCCCCTTGAATATTGGTGGGACTGTAAATACGATGGGTTACCATCCATATAATGTTACATGGCAAAGGGGTTTTCACAGATGTAATTAAGGTCCTTTATCAGCTGACTTTGTGTTAATGAAAAGGGAGACAACTTTGAGTGGCCTAATTTAATATTGTGAGCCCTTAATCAGGTCAGAAGCCATAGCAAAAGCTCTCCTGCTAGCCTGGAAAAAGCAGTTGCCATATTATAAACTGCCTATGGAAGGGGCCATTGGACAAGATCTGAGAGTGACCTTTTGGGGCTAAGAGAGGTTTTGATCCAACTCTTAGCAAGAAAACAGGGACCTTAGTCATCGAGCCACAAGGAATGCTGAATTCTGCCAACAACCTTGAATGACTCTGAGAAAACCCCCAAACCTCAGATGTAAGCCAACACCTTTATTTCACCCTGAGCAGAGACCCAGCTCATCTGAACAAGCAAACAGGCCAACACCTTTACTTCACCCTAAGCAGAGACCCAGCTCATCTGAAAACAAAATCCTGAACCACATAAAGTGTGAGATAATAAATTTGTGTTATTTTAAGCCACTAAGTTTGTGTTAATTTGTTACACAGCAATAGAAAAACAAAACAAAAAAAAAACTAAATAAAATTTTAATTTTCTCTTTACCACATCATCTGCAACAGATATTTAATAAACTTGGATGACAGGGGAAGTATAGACAGAACCACTTACAGATGTGTGAAAATCTAGAAGACCTGATGGTGATGGGGAGTAAGCTGATGAGTTTAACAATGGATGTGTTGGCTAGGCTCAGTGGCTCACGCCTGTAATCCCAGCACTTTGAGAGGCTGAGGCGGGTGGATCACCTAAGGTCAGGAGTTCGAGACCAGCCTGGCCAACATGGTGAAACCTCGTCTCTACTAAAAATGCAAAAAGTAGCTGGGTATGGTGGCGGGTTCCTGTAATCCCAGCTACTCAGGAGGCTGAGGCAGGAGAATAGCTTGAACCTAAGAGATGGAGGTTGTAGTGAGCCAAGATTGTACCACTGTACTTCAGCCTGGGTGACAGAGCAAGACTCCATCTCAAAAAATAAAATTAAAAAAAAAATGGAAGTGTTGATCTTGAAGTGATAACTGAAATCCTGACCCTTTGAGAAAGATGCAATAGGAACTGGTGGTGTGGGGAGAACAGTCATGAAAGAGGTCAGGCTTAGCAAATATCTACAGAAATAGGGTTGAACTGTGATGAGTGGGAGAGTGAAAAGGACACTGACTCAGGCTTGGATATGTCTACATTTAGAGAGGGAAGATGTGCTAAAAAGAAGCTGGAGAAAAGGAAGGAAGAATTACTATTAAGAGTTTTGAGGATGAGAGAATCAGCCTTTTCAAGTACCTACAGAGAATCCAAGGACAAAAACGGTCATTAAGTTTGAAGACTAGTATGTTACTGGTAAAGTGGCGAGAGTATATTCAGTAGAATAACACAGATAGAAACAAGATAGTGAGAAAAAGAAAAGTGGCTCATTCTTTCTCTTTTTAGATACGTAATAAATGCCAAACAGTAATCACCACTGGTCATACTAAACACAGACACACAGACACACAGACACACACACACACACATGCAAACATGAATGAAAAACATTTCAACCATAATTATATTATCTGTCCCTGTCCTTGGAATCCTTAATATTTGGAAAGATATAGAAACAAAATCAGGTTCAGATTATAGCCACCGTACATGAAATGTATATATATATATATATATATTTTTTTTTTTTTTTTGAGACAGAATCTCGCTCTGTTGCCCTGTTGCCCAGGCTGGAGTGCAGTGGTGCAATCTCGGCTCACTGCAACCGCCGCCTCCCGGTTCAAGTGATTCTCCTGCCTCAGCCTCCCAAGTAGCTGGGACTACAGGCGTGTGCCACCATGTCTGGCTAATTTTTTGTATTTTTAGTAGAGATGGGGTTTCACCGTGTTAGCCAGGATGGTCTCGATCTCCTGACCTCGTGATCCGCCTCCCTTGGCCTCCAAAGTGCTGGGATTACAGGTGTGAGCCACCATGCCCGGCCCATGAAATTGTTTTCTAATGTAAAACTCCTTCTCATAAACTTGATGATTATGACTACCATCCTTTGCAGATCCATAGTCTTGGAAAAATCTGGAGCTCTTCAGTTGGGTTAAGAAATGTATTATGAGGCTAAGACAGGAGGATCGCTTGAGCCCAGAAGTCTGAGACCAGCCTGGGCAACATAGTGAAAACCAACCTCTACAAAAAACTAAAAAATTAGCCAGGCATGGCCTCACATGCCTATAGTCCCAGCTACTCGAGAGGCTGAGGTGGGAGGATTGCTTGAGCCCAGAAGGTCGAGGCTACATTAAGCAGTGATGGCACCACTGTGCTCCCGCCTGGGCAACAGAGCGAGACTCTGTCTAAAAAAAAAAAAAAGAAGAAGAAGAAGAAATATCTATTATTCAGTTACTATGTAGAATAGCAGAGATGCCTGTAATCCCAGCACTTTGGGAGGCCGAGACGGGCGGATCACGAGGTCAGGAGATCGAGACCATCCTGGCTAACACGGTGAAACCCCGTCTCTACTAAAAATACAAAAATTAGCCGGGCATGGTGGTGCGCGCCTGTAGTCCCAGCTACACGGGAGGCTGAGGCAGGAGAATGGCGTGAACCCGGGAGGCGGAGCTTGCAGTGAGTCGAGATCGCACCACTGCACTCCAGCCTGGGCGACAGAGCGAAACTCCGTCTCAAAAGAAAAAAAAAAAAAAAAGAATAGCAGAGATGTATCATTCTGTTTATGTGACTTTTTTTTTAGAGCGTGCTTATATTTGGATGCTCCAGTCTAAGTTTAAATCCAGGGATTTTGTAGTTCATAAGGCAGTGAATATGTCTGACAACCATAAGCCAAAACATTCTAAAATTTACACTATATGTAATAAATTTAGCTCATTGCTAATTTTTAATACCTTTCTATCCTAAGTCAAAATAAGCCAATTATTCCTGAAACTTATCACTTCATAGTCTACATTCTCTCCCATAGAATAGATGGAGTATACTTATCTATCCACAGGACATGGAGAATGCTAAAAGTCACACTTGTCAGGAACTGAGCTAGGTCCTAGAGACACACAAAAAATTACAAGATGTTGTCTGGTTTCCCAACACTTACAATCAAGTAGCTCATAACTCCTGAATATTTCTATGCTGGCTGAGATATATCACTATGTCCATGGGGTACAAAAAACTGCTTATGAGATACAAGTTCAGAATTAAACCCATTATCTTTGGTTTATCAAGCTGTACAACAGGCATTTAAGACTCTCTGAATATTGGCACAAAGTTTCCCACTGAAAGTCTTAAAGAGATAGTACATATGGCT
Source organism: Homo sapiens (assembly GCF_000001405.40). Classification (NCBI taxonomy): domain Eukaryota; kingdom Metazoa; phylum Chordata; class Mammalia; order Primates; family Hominidae; genus Homo; species Homo sapiens. The sequence goes on along the minus strand of NC_000007.14, from coordinate 88,037,842 downwards.
ATATTATCACAGAAAATGAAAGTGATCTAGTTTTATGAAAAACTCCCAGGAGAGAAAGTGAGTGTGTGTATAAGGTATAGAAAGCCGGTATAATTGTACAAAATCTTCTTGTGAAGGGAAAGATGGTGAGGATGTTATCAAACATCATTCTTCATTGACCACAGCAGGGTTTAAAGGTTAACATACAGATACAGTTATGAAATAAGCTCTTATCCATAGGCAAAAAAAAATAAAAATAAAAATAAAAAAATAAAACACATCAAGGCAGACCTAATGGAAATTAGGTAGCAGGCCAACCTATGGGAAATTGGACAGCAGGCAGACTTAATGAAAATTAGACAACAGGGTGAAAAAATCAATATATGTCCTCTCATCTTTCCCTTTTATTTCTTGCATATGTAAATCTAGGCTTTAGATTTTCATTTTTTTCTCTATCATGTGAAACAGAAAAAATGGAGATAATTTTGTAGAACGCATAAGATAGGTCCAATGAAGAATAAGAATTAAAATTACATTAAGAAAAAATTGAATTTTTAAGAGCTTTAATTTAAAATAAACTATCAAAACATCATCGTTAAATATTTCCAGATGTCAAAAACATCTCAAATCCACTAGAAAACTGGGCTATAAAAAATGTATCTACCCTTTGATCTACTAATTCCATTACTTAGAATTTTTCTCAAAGAAAGAATCCCAGAAGAGAGGCTCTACTGCGCAAATATGTTCATAATAGCATCATTTATAGAGTTCAAGACTGAAAATAACATAAATGTCCAATGAAATTTTCAATTCTTTTGCATATTATGGAACATCAGCAAATATGTAGCCATAAATGAATGTGGAATACATGGAAATGTTTATGACAGATGTTAAATGGAGAGGGAAGACTACAAATTCTACCTAAGTATGATCACAATGACATGACATAAAATATATATATATTCTCATTGGGAAAGGAAAAGAAAGAAAAGAAGGAAAAGCCAACTGTTTTCTTCAAATGGTAAGATTACATAGGAGGAGGCTCTCTTTTTCTTTTTATTTCTGTTTTTGTTATAAATTGCAGTCACTGTACAAAATAACACTCAAAAATTGGTGAATGAATCAGAAGAGTTTTCATTTTATTCTAATTCACAACTTTCTCACAGACTGGGCAGCAAGGAAGGATAAGGGAGAACAGTTAATTAAAATAAAAATAAACTAAGTATGGGCTCAATGTATCCAGAGGTTTTATATCAAAGGGGAAACAGATACAGTACTGTATTCCAGTGAAGTGCTAAAGTAAGGAAACTTCCTTATATCTGTGCTGTTATACTGTTAACGTATTATTAATGATTGCCAAACATTACAAATGGTAATAAATGTGGTGATAAAATGGGTTGCTATATTAAAAATACAATTGTGAAAAATATTTTACATCTTTACTCCCTTTCATGTCCATCCCCAGCCCTCATTAGAATGCTGCAACAGAAGAAAGATATTATATTTTTCCATCAAAAGAATTAAGCAAATAAAAACATTCACACTAGAGGATTTCTGAACTTTGGGAGGGGCAATAAACCTTGCATCAATTACAACTCTGGGTTATTTTCTTTCTTTAGTGAAGGTTTTGGTAATTTCCAAAAGAAAAATGAAGGATTATATAGAAAAATAAGCAGTGAAAGCCTATTGTGTTTTAAATACCCATGCAGAGATTATTTCCAAATGTGTGAGTAGCATAAAAAGTACTGTGATACTTATTTTTCATTTGCATTTATATTTAATTTTGCCAGCTAGTCGGTGACTTAAAAGCTTTCTGCAACAATAAAGATTATGTGATGATTACATGTAAGTATTATCTACTTGACTTTCTTCTACACAAAGACCAAGAACATGTGGAAATTAAACAGATCCATATTTTTCCTGACTTTGCCTGTGCTTTTACTGCTAGAAAAAGAAGTTTAATCCATAGCTTATGAAACTCAGAAGACAGCACTCTAGTTACTAATTTGGTAGCAGTATTTTCTGACACGACTAAAATCATCCCTTGGTATCCTTGGGGAATTGGTTCCAGGACCCTGAGCAGATACCAAAATCCATGGATACTCAAGTCTGTTATATAAAATGGTGTGGTATTTGCATACAGCCTATGCATTACTCTGGTCATCTCTAGATTACTTATAATATCTAATACAACATGAATGCTACGTAAATTGTTGTAATACTGTATTGTTTAGAGAATAATAACAAGAACAAAATCAATACATGTTCAGAACAGATGCAACCATCCAATTTTTAAAAAAATACTTTTGATCCACGGTTGGTTGAATCTATGAATATGGAACCCACAGATGTGGAGGTCCAACTGTATACATAATACATTGTGCTGGAAATCTGCTGTCTACACCAGCCCAGCAACCTTATCTGCTTACTCTGATAATACTATCCCCACCCCTTCCCTTGGGGGAAGGCTCCACTGTTCCATAAATGGACTGCTAAATGTGGGATAAGCTGCTGGTATAGCAATTGACACAACTGGATCTAGGGCCCAAGCCAAGGCAACAAACTCCTTTCTCTTGGATTTGTATATATTAATAAGTGAAAAGAAAGTTTTCCTTCCTACAGTGTTTGCTGCCTAGAGTATAACAAGTCTTGACCTTTCGGTGACCATAATCTGTTTCTTGGCATGAAGAAAAACCATATTAGGAGAACGAGGCAAACACAAACTCAAGTAGAATCAAGAAATAAAGGAGCAAGAGAATGAGGCAGGGCAAGATGGCCAAATAGAAGCTTCCACAGGTCATCCTCTCTGCAGGAACACCAAATTTACCAGCTATCTACACAGAAAAACACTTACATAAGAACCAAGAATCAGGTGAGAGATCAGTAAATAGTTTAAACTTCTAATCACTGAAACAGGCACTGAAGACAGTAGGAAAGACAGTCTTCAATTGCCAACAGCAACCCTTCCCCACACCCCAGCAGCAGCCTCATGGCACAGAGAGAGAAACTGTGCACTTAGGCAAGGGAGAGCACAGCAATTGTGGGACTTTGCGTTGGAATTCAGTGCTGCAACACCAGACAGAACTCAGCTGATGCCCACAGAAGGAGCATTTAAATGAGCCCTAGCCAAAGGGGAATCGACCATCCTAGTGGTCAGAACTTGAGTTTGGCAAGCCTCACTACCTGAGGCTAAAGTGCTTCGGTGCCCTAAATAAACCTGAAAGACAGTCTAAGCCATAAGGACTGCAACTCCTAAGCAAGTCCTAGTGCTGTGCTGGGCTTAGGGGACTTGGGGGCACTCAAGTTACTGAGACACGAGCTGAGGTATCTAAGGGAGTGCCTGTACCACACCTCCCCCAGTCCCTGGCAGCACAGCTTGCAGCTCCAAAAAAGACTTCTTCCTTCTGCTTCAAGAGAGGACAGGGAAGAGTAATGAAGACATCGTTTTGCAACTTGGATACCAGCTCAGCCACAGCAGAATATGGCACTGGGAAGAGTCGTGAGGCCCTCATTCCAGGGCCCAGCTCCCAGGCATTTCTAGACACACGCTATCCCAAAAAGGAAGCCACTACCTTAAAGGGAAGGACCAACTTCTGGCAGGATTCATCACCTGCTAAATATAGAGCCTTTGGGCCCTGAATAATCGGCAGCAGTAGCCAAGCAGTACATGCCGTGGGCCTGGGGTGAGACTCTGAGATGTGCTGACTTCACTAGCACATTCCCAGCTATGGTGGCCACAAGGAGGGACTCCATCTGCTTGAGAAAAGCAGAGGGAAGAGTAAAGGGGGCTTTGTCTTGCACCTTAGGTACCAGTTTGGCCACACTGGGGTGGAGCACCAAGCAGGTTCTTGAAGTACTAGGTCCCAGGCTTTGGCTCCTGGAAGGCATTTCTGGATCTGCTCTGGGCCAGAGGGGAGCTCACTGCCCTTAACAGTGAGCTCCAGGCCTAGAAGCATTCACTACAAACTGACTGAAGAGCCCCTGGGCCTTAAGTAAACATTAGTGGTAGCCTGGCAGTACTCCACGTGGGCCTGTGGGGTGGTGGACACAGGGAGAGAATCCTCTGCCTGTGGAAAGGCAAGAGTAGAAAGGATTTTGTCTTGTGGCTTGGACGCCAGCTCAGCTACAGAAGAATGGAGCACCAGGTAGATTTCTAAGGTTTCTGACTCCAGGTCCTGATCTCCAGATGGTATCTCTGGACCCACCCAAAGCCTGGGGAATCCCATTGCCCTGTAGGGAAGAACAAAGGCCTGGCTGGCTTTGCCACCAGCTGATGGTAGACCCTTAGGGCCTTGAGCAAACATAGATGGTAGCAAGGCAGTGGTCACCACTGGCCTTGGGCAAGATGCAGTGCTATGTTAGCTCTGGGTCTGAACCACCACTGTGGTCCCAGTGATGGTGGCCACATGGGTGATTGTGTCACCCCGACACTCAGCCCCAGGCAGCCCAGCACAGAATGAGAGACTCTGTTTGATTGCCAGAAAGTAAGGGAAAAGAACAAGAGTCTCTGCCTGGATAAACAGAATTCTTCAGGATCTTATCCAAGACCACCAAGCTTACACCTCTACAAGTCTGCAAGAGCCATAGCATTACTGGGCTTGGGGTGTCCCCTAATGCAGATACAGCTGCAGCAACCAAAAATGTATATCACAACACCCAAGCTTCATACACCTGGAAAGCCTTCCCAAAGACAGGTACAAAGAAGCCCAGACTATGAAGACTACAGTAAATACCTAACTCTTCCACACCCAGAAACCAATGAACATCCATAAGCATCAAGACCAGCAAGACCAGAAAAACATGACTTAACCAAATGTATTAGTCCATTCTCACACTGCTATAAAGAACTACCTGAGAATGGGTAATTTATGTAGAAAAGAGGTTGGATCGGCTCACAGTTCTGCAGGGTGTACAGGCTTCTACTTCTGGGAAGGCCTCAGAAAATTCACAACCATGATGAAAAGCAAAAGAGAAATAAGCACATCTTCATATGGCTAGCAAGAGAGAGACAGGGAGCAAAGGGGGTGGTGTTACACACTTACAAACAACCAGATTTTGTGAGAACTGTATCATGAGACAGCCCTAAAGGGATGGTGTTAAACCATTACAATCCAATCACCTCCCACCAGACCGCACCTCCAACACTGGGAATTATAATTCAACATAAGATTTGGGTGAAAATACAGAGCCAAGCCATATCGTTCTGCCCCTGCCTCCCCCACCGAATCTCATGTCCTTTTCACATTTCAAAACACAGTAATGACTTCCTAACAGTCTCCCAAAGTCTTAACTCATTCCAGCATTAACTCAAAAGTCCAAGTCCAAAGTCACATCTGAGACAAGGCAGGTCCTTTCCACCTATGAGCCTGTAAAATCAAAAACAAGATAGTCACTTCCAAAACACAATGGAGGTATAGGCATTGGGTAAATGCTCCCTTTCCAAAAAGGAGAAATTGGCCAAAACCAAGGGGCTACAAGCCCCACGCAAGTCCAAAACCCAGCAGGGCAATCATTTAATGTCTTTTGACTCCATGTTTCATATCCAGGCCACACTGATGCAAAAAGTGGGCTCCCAAGTCCCTGAGCAGCTCCACCCCAGTTTTGCAGAATACAGACCCAATGGCCGCTTTCACAGGCTGGTGTTGAGTACCTGCAGCTTTTCCAGGTGCATGGTGCAAGTTGTCAGTGGATCTATCATTCTGGGGATTGGAGAATGGTGGCCTTCTTCTCAGAGCTCCACCAGGAGTGCCCCAATGTGTGGGGCTCTAACATCACATTTCCCCTCTGTACTGCCCTAGTAGAGGTTCTCCCTGAGGGCTCTGTCCCTGCAGTAGACTTCTGCCTGGACATCCAGGTATTTCTATACATCCTCTGAAATCTAGGCAGAGGCACCCAAGCCTCAACTCTTGCTCTCTGTGCACCCACAGGCCTAACACCATCTGGAAGGCTTGGCAGCTCCAGCTTGCACCCTCTGGAGCAGCAGCCTGAGATGTATCTGGGGCCCTTTTAGCCACAGCTGGAGCTGGAGTGGCTGGGACAGAGGGAGCAGTGTCCTGAGGTTGTGCAGGGCAGTGGGACCCTGGGCCTGGCCCATAAAATCATTCTTCCCTTCCAGGCCTCCAGGCCTGTGATGGGAGGGGCTGCCATGAAGGTCTCTGAAACACCTTCCAGGCATGCTCTGCTTCCCTTTTAAATATAAGTTCCAGGTTCAGATAATCTCTTTGTTCACACATCTGAGCATACATGGTAAGAAGAAGCCACATCTTGAATGCTTTGCTACTTAGAAATTTTGTCCACCAGATACCCTAAATCATCTCTTTCAAGTTCAAAGTTCAACTGATCCCTAGAGCAGGGGCATAGTGCCACCAGTCTCTGCTAAAGCAAAGCAAGAGTGACCTTTACTCCAGTCCCCAATAAGTTCCTCAACTCCATCTGAGACCACTTAAACCTGAACTTCATTGTCCATATCACTATCAGCATTTTGGTCACAACAATTTAACAAGTCTCTAGGAATTTCCAAACTTTCTCTCATCTTCCTCTCTTCTTCTGAACCTTCAAACTGCTCCATCCTCTGCCCACTACCCAGTTTTAAAGCTGCTTCCACATTTTCAGGTATCCTTATAGCAATACCCCACTCCTGGTACCAATTTTCTGTATTAGTCCATTCTCACATTACTATAAAGAACTGAGACTAGGTAATTTATACAGAAAAGAAGTTGGTTTTTTGTTTGTTTGTTTGTTTGTTTTTGAGACGGAGTCTTGCTCTGTCGCCCAGGCTGGAGTGCAGTGGCGCGATCTTGGTTCACTGCAAGCTCCGCCTCCCAGGTTCACGCCATTCTCCTGCCTCAGCCTCCTGAGTAGCTGGGACTACAGGTGCCCGCCACCACGCCCGGCTAATTTTTTGTATTTTTAGTAGAGATGGGGTTTCACTGTGTTAGCCAGGATGGTCTCAATCTCCTGACCTTGTGATCCGCCCACCTTGGCCTCCCAAAGTGCTGGGATTACAGGCATGAGCCACCGTGCCCGGCCGAGAGAAGAAGTTTAATCAGTTCATGGTTCTGCAGGCTGCACAGGCTTCTGCTTCGGGGGAGGCCTGAGGAAATTTACAATCATGGCGGAAGGCAAAGGGGAAACAAGCACATTTTCACTTGGCTGGCATGAGAGAGAGAGAGCAAAGAGGGAGGTGCTACACACTTTCAAACAACGAGATCTCATGAGACCTCTATCACAAGACAGCACTAGGTGGATGATGCTAACCATTAGAAACCAGCCACACAATCCAATAACCTCCCACCATGTACCACCTCCAAAATTAGGAATTACAATTCAACATGAGATTTGGGTGGAGACACAGAGCCAAGCCATATCACCAAATAATAAAATAAGGCACGAGGGACTTATCCCAGAGAGAGATATGTGACTTTTCAGACAGATTTCAAAAGGGCTGTTTTGAGTAAACTCAAAGAAATTAAGGATAACATAGAGAAAGAATTCAAAATTCTATCAGATACATTTAACAAAGACACTGAAATAATTTTAAAAATCAAGCAGAAATTCTGGAGTTGAAAATGCAATTAACACACTGAAGAATACATCAGAGTCTCTCAACAGCAGAATTAATCAAGCAGAAGAAATAAGTAGTGAGCTTGAAGATGGCTGTTTGTAAACATAATCAGAGGAGACAAATTTTTAAAAAAGGATAAAAAAGAATGAATCACACCTAGAAGATCTAGAAAACAACCTCAAAGGGGCAAATTAAATTAAAGAGTTTTTGGCATTAGATAGGAGGTAGAGATGAGGGCAGGTAGAAAGTTTATTCAAAGGGATAATAACAGAACTTCCCAATCCTAGAGAAAGATATCAATACTTAACTACAAGAAGATTACAGAACACCAAGAGACTTTAGCTCAAACAAGGCTACCTCAAGGTTTTTAATAATCAGACTCCCAAAGGTCAAGAAAAAAGAAAGGATCCTAAAAGTAGCAGGAGAAAAAAAACTACAATGAAGTTCCAATATGCCTGGCAGCAGATTTTTCCATGGAAATCTTATAGGCTAGAAGAGAGTGGCATGACATATTTAAAACTCTGAAAGAAAAAAAAAACTTTTACCCCAGAATAGTATATCCAGCAAAAATATCATTCATATATGAAGGAGAAATAAAGACATTCCCAGACAAACAAAAGTTGAGTGATTTCATCAACACCAGACCTGTCCTATAAGAAACACTAAACAAAGTTATTCAATCTGAAAGAAAAGGACATTAATGAGCAGCAAAAAATCATCTGAAGGTACAAAACTTATTGACAATAGTAAGTACACAGAAAAACACAGACTATTATAAGACTAATTTTGGTGTATAAACTACTCATATCTTACACAGAAAGACAAAAAGATGAACTGATTAAAAGTAATAATTACAATAACTTTTCAAGATACAGACAGTACAATAAAAAGTAGAAACAACAAAAGTTAAAAAGGGTGGACAAAATTAAAGTGCAGAGTTTATATTAGCTTTCTTTTGTGTATTTATGCAATCAGTGTTAAGTTGGCATCAGTTTAAAATAGTGGATTATATTATTTACAAGCCTAGTGGTAACCTCAAATTGAAAAACATATAACAAATACACAAAAAATAAAAAGCAAGAAATCAAAGCCTACCACCAGAGAAAATCACAGTGATTAAAAAGAAGACAGAAAGGAAGAAAAGACCATAAAACAACCAGAAAACAAATTTTAAAATAACAGAAATAAGCCCTTATTTATCAATAATAACATTGAATTTAAATGGACTGAACTCTCCAATCAAGACAGAGAATGAAACATCTCATATACCCAACAAATATATATACTGACTATGTATCCACAAAAAATAAAATTAAAAAAATTAAAATGGCATTGAGTGGCTTAATGGATAAAAAAACAAGACTCCACGTTCTATTGTCTATAAGACATATACTTCACCTATAAGGACACACATAGACTGAAAATAAAAGGATGGAAAAAGATATTCCATGCAAATACAAACTACAAGTGAGCAGGAGTAGCTATACTTATGTCAGACAAAATAGATTTCAAGACAAACACTACAAAAGAGACAAAGAAGGTCATTATATAATGAGAAAAGGGTCAATTCAGCAAGAATACATAACAATTAAAATATATACATATGTGTATATATATATATACACACACTCAACATTGGTGCACCCAGATATATTAAGAAATATATATTAGAGCTAAAGACAGAAACAGACCCCAATACAATAATAGCTGGAGATTTCAACACTCCACTTTCAGCATTAGACAGATCATCCAGACAGAAAATCAACAAGGAAACATCAGACTTAATCTGCATTATAGAACAAATGGACTTAATAGATATTTACAGAACATTTCATCCAATAGCTACAGAATACACATTCTTCTCCTCAGCACATGGATGATTCTCAAGAATAGACCATATATTAGGCCACAAAACAAGTCTTTAAAACATTCAAAAAAATGAAATTATACCAAATCTCTTCTCTGACCACAATGAAATCAAACTAGAAATCAATAACAAGAGGAATTTTGGAAACTATACAAACACATGGAAATTAAACAACATGCTCCTGAATGACGAGTAGGTCAATGAAGACGTAAAGAAGGAAATTTTAAAATTTCTTAAAATAAGTGACAATGGCAAGACAATACACCAAAACCTATGAGATACAGCAAAAGCAGTACTAAGGAGGGAAGCTCTTAGCTATAACTGCTTACATCAAAAAAGTAGAAAAAAGGCTGGACACAGTGGCTCATGCCTGTAATCCCACCACTTTGGGAAGCTGTGGCAGGCAGATCACTTGAGGTCAGGAGTTCGAGGCCAGCCAACATGGTGAAACCCTGCTTCTACTAAAAATACAAAATTAGCCGGATGTGGTGGCACATGCCTGTAACCCCAGCTACTCAGAAGGCCAAGGCAGGAGAATCACTTGAACCTGGGAGGTAGGGTTGCAGTGAGCCAAGATAATGCCTCTGGGCAACAGAGCAAGACTCTGTCTCAGAAAAAAAAAAAAAGGTAGAAAAGCTCAAATAAACAACCTAATGAAGCATCTTCACAACTAGAAAAGCAACAGCAAACCACATCCAAAGTTAGTACAAGAAAAGAAATAATAAAGATCAGAGCAGAAATAAATGAAATTGAAACAATACAAATAGTCATCAGAACAAAAGGTGTTTTTTTCTGAAAAGATAAACAAAATTGACAAATCTTTAGCCAGCCTAATGGGGGAAAAAAAAGAGAAAAGAGTCAATTGATCCTGCAGAAATTCAAAGGATAATTAGAGGCTACTATTTGCAACTATATGCCAAGAAATTGGAAAAGCTAGAAGAAATGGGTAAATTCCTATACACATACAACCTACCAAGATTGAACCATGAGGAAATCCAAAACCTGAACAGAGTAATAACAAGTAAAGAGATCAAAACTGTAATTAAAAAGTCTCTCAGCAAAAACAAAGGCTGCAAGCTTAAGGCTTCACGGCTGAATTTTACTAAACATCTAAAGAAGTACTAACACCAATCTTACGGAAACTATTCCAAATAATGGTGGAGGAGGGAATGCTTCCAAACTCATTCTACAAAGCCAGTATTACCCTGATACTAAAGCCAGACAAAAATGTGTCAAAAAAAGAAAAATACAGGCCAACGTCCCTGATGAACATTGAGGCAGAATTCCTCAACAAAATACTAGCAAACCAAATTCAACAATACATTAAAAAGGTCATTCATCACAACCAAGTAGGATTCATCCCAGGGATGCAAGGATGGCCCAACATACACAAATCAATCAATGTGATGCATCATATTAACAGAATGTTGAAGAAAATTCATATGATCATTTCATTTGATGCTGAAATGAAAAGCATTTCCTAAAATTCAACACCCTTTCATGACAAAAAGCCCTCAAAAAACTGGCTATAGAAGAAACAAACCACAACATGATAGAAGCCATAACAACAGACCCACAGTTAGTACCATACTGAATGGAAAAAAACTGAAAGACCTTCCTCTAAGATTGGGAACACAACACAATGGATGCCCAATTTCATCACTATTATTCAACATAGTACTGGAAGACCTAGCTAGAGCAATCAGACAAGAGAAATTAAAAACAGCAACCAAATTGGAAAGGGAGAAGTCAAATTATCCTTGTGTGCAGATTATATAATCTTGTATTTGGAAAAACCTGAAGATTCCACCAAAAAATATTAGAACTAATAAATTCAGTCATATTGCAGGATATAAAAACAACATACAAAAATCAGTAGCATTTCTACATGCTAATATGGTTTGAATCTGTGTCTCCACTCAAATCTCATGTCAATTTGTAATTCCCAGTGTTGAAGGTGGGGTCTAGTGGGAAGTGACTGTATCATCGGGGTGGAATTCTCATGAATGGGTTAGCACCGCCCCTTCAGTCCTGTTTTCATGATAGTGGGTAAATAAGTTATTGTGACATCTCGTTGTTAAAAGTATGTGGCACCTCTCCCTTCTCTGTTGGTCCTGCTCCTGCCATGTCAAATGCCTGCTCCCACTTTGCCTTCTGCCATGAGTAAAAGTTCCCTGAGGTCTCCCCAGAAGCAGATGATGCCATGCTTCTGTACAGTTTGTGGAACCATGTGCCAATGAACCCTCTTTTCTTTATAAATTATCCAGTCTGTGCTAACACACATGCTAACAGCAATTACTGAAAAAGGAATCAAGAAAGTAATCCAATTTATAGTAGATACTTATAAAATTAAATAGCTAGGAATTAACCAAAGAAACTAAAGATCTCTACAATAAAAAGTATAAAACATTTGTCAAAGAAATTGAAGAGGACACACACACAAAAAATGAAAAGATATTGTTAAAATGACCATAATACCCAAAGCAATATACAGATTCAATGCAATCCTTACTAAATACCAATGACATTCTTCACAGAAATAGTAAAAACAATCCTAAAATTTATGTGGAACCACAAAAGACCCTGAATAGCCAAAATTATGTTGAGTAAAAAGAACAAAACTGAAGAAATCATATTACCTGTCTTCAAAATATTCTTCAGAGCTATAGTAACCAAAACAGCATGGTACTGGCATAAAAACAGACAAATAGACCAATGTAAAAAAATAGAGAACCAAGAAACAAATCCATACATCTACAACGAACTTATTTTCAACAAAGGTGCCAAGAATATACATTGGGGAAAAGATAGTTTCTTCAATAAATGGTGCTGGGAAAACTGGATATCCATATAGAGGAATGAAACGAGACCCCTATCTCTTGCCATATACAAAAATCAAATCAAAATGGATTGAAGACTCAAATCTAAGACCTTAAACTCTGAAACTACTAAAACAAAATATTAGAGAATCTCTCCAGGATATCAGAGTGAGCAATACCAGTAATACCCCACACGCACAGGCAACCAAAGCAAAAATGGACAAATGGGATCACATTAAGTTAAAAAGCTTCTGCACAGCAAAGAAAACAATCAACAAAGTGAAGAGGTAATGCACAGAATGGGAAAAAATATTTGCAAATTAACCATCTGACAAAGGATTAATAACCAGAATACACAAGGAGCTCAAACAACTCAATAAGAAAAATCCTCAGGGAACAACAGGTGCTGGAGAGGATGTGGAGAAATAGGAACACTTTTACACTGTTGGTGGGACTGTAAACTAGTTCAACCATTGTGGAAGTCAGTGTGGCAATTCCTCAGGGATCTAGAACTAGAAATACCATTTGACCCAGCCATCCCATTACTGGGTATATACCCAAAAGATTATAAATCATGCTGCTATAAAGACACATGCACACGTATGTTTATTGCGGCACTATTCACAATAGCAAAGAATTGGAACCAACCCAAATGTCCAACAATGATAGACTGGATTAAGGAAATATGGCACATATACACCATGGAATACTATGTAGCCATAAAAAATGATGAGTTCATGTCCTTTGTAGGGACATGGATGAAGGTGGTAACCATCATTCTCAGCAAACTATCGCAAGGACAAAAAACCAAACACTGCATGTTCTCGCTCATAGGTGGGAATTGAACAATGAGAACACATGGACACAGGAAGGGGAACATCATGCACTGGGGTCTGTTGTGAGGTGGGGGGAGGGGGGAGGGATAGCATTAGGAGATTTACCTAATGTTAAATGATGAGTTAATGGGTGCAGCACACCAACATGGCGTATGTATACATATGTAACAAGCCTGCACGTTGTGCACATGTACCCTAAAACTTAAAGTATAATTTAAAAAAAAGAAAGAAAAATCCAATAATTTAATTAAAATATTGGCAAAAATATCTGAATATACATTTATCCAAAGAAGACATACAAATGGCAAACAGGCATATGAAAAAGTGTTCAGCATCATTAATCATGAGAGAAATGAAAGTCAAAACTACAATGAGGTATCATCTCACCCCAGTTAAAATGGCTTATATCCAAAAGTTAGGCAATAACAAATGCTGGTGAGGATGTAGAGAAAAGGCAACCTGCATACAATGTTGGTGGGAATGTAAATTAGTATGACCACTATGGAGAACAGTTTGGAGGTTCCTCAAAACACTAAAAATAGAGCTACCATATGATCCAGAAATCCCATTGTTAGGTATATAGTCAAAAGAAAGGAAGTCGGTATAACAGACATCTGTACTTCCATGTTTATGGAAGCAGTATTCCCAATAGCCAAGATTTGGAAGCAATCTAAGTGTCCAACCACAGATGAATGGATAAAGAAAATATGGTATATATATAGCAAGGAGTACTATTCAGCCATAAAAAAGAATGATATTTTTTCATTTGCAATAACGTGGATGAAACTGGAGATCATTATGTTAAGAGAAATAAGCCAGACACAGGAAGAGCAACTTCACATGTTCTCACTTATTTGTGGGATTTAAAAATTAAAACAATTTAACTCATAGAGATAGAGAGCAGAATAATGGTTACCAGAGGCTGGGAGGGGTAACAGGAGGGTAGGGGGGAAGTGGGGGTAGCTAAGGAGTACCAAAAAATGGGTAGAAAAATCAATAAAATCTAATATTTGATAGCACAACAGGGTTACTATAGTCAATAACAATTTAATTGTATATTTTAAAATAACTAAGCCGGGGGCAGTGGCTCATGCCTGTCATCCCAGCACTTTGGGAGGCTGAGGTAGGCGGGGTGTTTGAGACCAGCCTGATCCGCATGGCAAAACCCAGTCTCTACTAAAAATGCAAAAATTAGCCAGGTGTGGTGGCTCATGCCTGTAATCCCAGCTACTCAGGAGATTGAGGCAGGAGAATCACTTGAACCTGGGAGGTGGAGGTTGCAATGAGCTGAGATCATGCCATTGCATTCCAGCCTGGGCAATGGAGCAAGACTCCATCTCTAAATAAATAAATAAAAGACTATAATTGGATTGTTTGTAACACAAAGGATAAATGCTTGAGGTGACAGATATCCCATTTACCCTGATATGGTTATTACACATTGTATGCCTGTATCAAAGTATTTCATATAATCCTTGAATATATACACCTACTATGTACCCAGAAATTAAAAACAATATCAATAAATAAATATAAAGAGATCTGATATAACTGAGATCCTAGATTCAGGCATACCTGAGGCCAGTTCCACTTCCATTGTTCTGAATATAATCCATCTAAACAATCTTTCATTAAAACGAAGGAAGAAAAGAATGAAGAGAAGACCACGAAACAACCAGAAAACAAAAATCAGTAAATTCATTATTTTGGTTAAGTCAGGTTTCAGATACTTATAAACAAAGAGTCCTAAGCAAAAGAAAAGTGAAATAAGTAAAAGTAATGAATCGATGTATCTAATCTAGTCTAGCAATGTTTTACAAAGTGCAGCAAGAGTTATATTGCTCCACTAATAGTTTCAATAGTTTGTGTGTGCCTTTTGAAAGAGAAAAGAAAAATCTTTTAAATGCTGCTACAATATCATTTATTGAACTTACCTAGTGATGGTTAATATAAAGTTATAGTTTTTTTCTCAGAAAAATATTTGGCCAGAAGACAGAGTATATAAATATAAAGCCGGAATAAAAACTATGGCAAACATTTAAAATCATCCTATGTAAAAGAATAATTTTATGATGAAATCAGAGGAAGTCTTAAATATGAGTGTAGTAGTTTAATTCACGAACTCTACTTACTGATATGAAAAAAATTAAATTTCATACACCAAAACAGATCATAAAATTTCCAGACAATTTTCTCTAGAAAAACAGAATGGTATGCACCTTTTTTCATTAACCCAAATCCTCTTTCCTATTACTTAAACTAAACACTGTTCTCTTGGTAAAATCCAATTGAAACAATCTGATTGAATATAAATCATCTTATTAACTGGTCATAGTGGAATTTCTTGACCAAAATCTCACTGTTTTATATGATAAGAATCATTTAGCACATATTAGTCCACCAAAACATTGAATTTTAGTTTGCAAGTTACTGAGAACATTTGAATTGCAATGTCATGAACCATCTGGTATCATTCCCTCTGTCTGGCCTACTGAACTCTAAGAAAGCAGAGGTCACATTAATAGGTAAGTGATGGTTAAGTAATAGCTAATTAATAGTTAAGTAATAGTTAAGTGTAATGAGGCCAAGAGTGGTGGTTCATGCCTGTAATCCTAGCACTTTGGGAGGCTGAGGCAGGAGGATCACTTGAGGTTAGGGGTTTGAGACCAGTCTGAGCAACAGAGTGAGACTCCATCTCTACAAAAAAAAAATAAAAATAAAAATAAAAAATTTTTTAATTAGCCAGGCATGGTGGTACATGTCTGTAGTCCTCAACATTCGGGAGGCGGAAATGGGAGGATCACTTGAGCCCTGGAGTTCAAGGCTGCAGTGAGCTTTGGTCATACCACTGCACCCCAGCCTGAGCGACAGAGCGAGACCCTGTCTCAAAAAGAAAAAAAAAAAATGTAATGAGAGAAGGAAGAAATTCCAAATGAATTAAACTTTATACCATTGTCTCTGAGTCTTTTATGACTCGAAAACCTCTATCAGAATTTCCTGAAAGTCATGGCTCCACTCTCCTGAAAAATGCACAAGTACACATACATAATATTTTGAATACAATTTCAGTCATTCCTGAAATTCAGCATCCATTCATGATCAGTGGGTCTGGAAACTGTGCTTTAGAACCACTGAAAAGTCCATTGAAGAAAAAATGCTATAATTACTTGTCTGAAAACAGCCAATATATTTTTACATGTTTTATTTCTGAGCCAGATCGCTAATAGAAAACATAAGGCAATAACACAAAAACTTAACCTATTTATTATTTTTAAGGACAAAATGGAGTATACAAAGTGTCCAGAATTCAGAAACAGGATATGTGTCATATTGTCTTTTGTGACCCTCAGCAAACCTTTGGCACATACCGGGGTTTCTTCCCAGCAAAAAGGTTTGCTTTAGGCAAATTTAAAACTCTGTAAAAATAATCCCCACTCCTCAGTTTACTTACAAAATAACAAGAGTGGATTAAGGTCTCTGGAAGGCTCTGGTGAAATGGTTGCTTTTGCAGAGGAGAACTAGGTGCCAAGGTAGGAAAGAGCCTCACATACTTCTTTTATGCTAGGAATTTCCATTTCCTTGTGATTCACTTGCCACACTGCCCTGTGCCCCAAGAGGCTGACCTTTATGGTTCATAGCAAAGAGTTCCCTGCCTTCTGGTTTCTGGTAAGACTGGATGATGGAAGGCAGGACAGAAGATAAGAGGAGAAAAATTAGTGAAGACAAAGTATTTATTTCCTGGCTCTCTTGAACATGGTCCCCTGGAGTTGGCTGTCTCTCCAAAGAAGATTGTGGTTCCTCTCAGGGGTTTCTGACTCTAGAGTAAAATTCACTCCCTAAATTCCAGAACTCACCCCTTAAGTTCCAGTACCCACTCCCTCTCCTCATCCCCAACTAGGGTACTAAAAGCCAGGTTTCTGCATTATCCATTGGGGTTCTCTTACCCCCATGCTTTTGTAAATGGTCTCACTGAAAATAAACTTTCCTGGAATAATCCTATTTTGAATTACATAGTATGTGAATACAAAATACATAAAATTTAAAATTCTAAAAATATATGTTATCCTGGCACAAATAATCTGCTGATCTCAGGGACTGCCTGGGCCTATTCCACCGCGATGCAGTGGAAGAGGTCAAAGGTTTAATGAGCATTCACCTGGTGGAATTTCAGAAGTGGTACTGTCAGGGTGCCTTGGAATAGTGAAGGAAGAAGTACAGCCAAAGTCGATACACATTGGAGGAAACAAACCAAGACAAAAGTTGCCTCTGCTCTCCCAGTGAAAGCCCAGAAGTACAAATCACAAAACCCATCCCCTTGGCAAATATGCATCCTCCTCCAAGCATGGAGAACCCCCTGTGGAGTATTGTCACATGATTGTGGCACCAGCCCTCCCTTCTCAACAAACCACAGGCAAAGCGACTTAAAAACCCATTTTGTTAGGCCTTAGCCAACCAATCCCAAATTACAATGGAAAGAGATGGTGGTTCTGGCCTGAATGAGGTCCCAGGAAAAAAATATACTAATGAGTTTGTCATTGTCATTGTCAGTTTCTTTTACATTTGCAGTTAGAGAACACATATTTGTCCCTTGCCATGACTAATACTCAATGCCTGCGCATTAACACCACGATACCAATATTCATGAGAATGCAGTAGGTCACAGGTATATCAGCAAAGCCCATTCTGTTTAATCATTGCTATTACCCAGAAAAAAATTGCTATCCACCTAAGAGATGGCTTTCACTATTTTTGTGAGCTCCCATAAAGGTTCAGGAACTTGACCATTTTCATCTATATTATGGAAGATGACAGAACACTAATGTAGTTTTTTATCATTTGAGGTTTAATCTTTTTATTTTTAAGAAATACATCTACACACACACACACACACACACACACACACACACACACACACACACATATTTTTTGAGATAGAGTCACGCTCTGTCGCCCAGGCTGAAGTGAAATGGCACAACCTCGGCTCACTGCAACCTCCGCCTCCCAGGTTCAGGTGATTCTCCTGCCTCAGCCTCCTGAGTAACTGGGATTACAGGTGCGCACCACAACCCCCAGCTAATTTTTGTAATTTTTAAGTAGACACAGGGTTTTACCGTGTTGGCCAAGCTGGTCTCAAACTCCTGACCTCAGGTGATCCACCTGCCTTGGCCTCCCAAAGTGCTGGGATTACAGGCATGAGCCACCACACCCGGCCAGAACAAAATATATTTTGAAGTAAGTTTATACCATTATAAATTTCAAAGTCAGTATGCTAAACTTTGTGTATTTATTTCTTTCTTTGTTTAGAGACAGCATTTCACTCTGTCGCCCAGGCAGGAGTCCAGTGGCATGATCTCGGCTCACTGCAACCTCCACCTCCCAGATTCAAGCAATTCTCCTGCCTCAGCCTCCCAAGTACCTGGGATTATAGGCACCCACCACCATGACCAACTAATTTTTTGTATTTTTAATAGAGACAGAGTTTCACCATGTTGGCCAGGCTGATCTCCAACTCCTGGCCTCAAGTGATCCACCCACCTTGGCCTCCCAAAATGCTGAGATTACAGGTGTGAGCCATGACACCTGGCCTAGCATGCTAAATTTTCAGAAGGGCTAATGGATATTCTTTCTGGGTCAGTGCTAAATTGCTTGCAAGTTTATTTCGCCAAATCAAAAAGGAATAGTTTTGAAGCTAAACTTTTTTTTTTTTGGTTTAGTAGTTCACACATTTTTATAGATGGCAAAAAATAAAACCACTATGTATAATATGTCATGAGATAAATACTCTTACGTTATACTAAAACTTTTTATACAAAAAAGCTATAGAGCTCATAAGCTATCTATGAAAAGCAATGTGTGCTGATAATACCTTTGTCCAAAGCTTTATGTAAACATTACTATATTCAGTTATTTCTCAGAAATTAAGTATGCAATTTGCCTCCTATAGATTGCCATGTAAAATGCACATATTTATTCCTAAGGAGCCATTATTCACTGCTAAGAAACAATTTAAACAACATTTGATCTCCAGGGATTTTCATGTTCTCACTTTTGTGTGCCATAAGCAGTAAAATAGGAAGCGAACATACCATTGGGAATCTTAAAGAGTGAGTTCAATTGCAAAATCTTCTTGGAAAGATTGGTTTCTTTCTTCACAATGTGCCTTATTGTCAACAAATGTTGCAAATAAGGAATAAAGCAGATGCTTTATATTTCTACCCAAATTCCAATTCCATCATCTATTTTATTAGATTTGGCTTCTTTGTTTTTTATACACCTACTATGTTTTCCTGCTCTACTCAGTGTGAAATGCTACTTTGGTAGAACAGTAATGGGGGAAAAAAAATCTAGATTTTCTCATATTATTTACTTACAAAATAAAAGGTTCCTCACAGAGGAGTCCAATAATGACACTCCTTTTTAATTGTTATTAACAAAGTTTTAAGGAAGAAAAAAAGAAAAAGACACTGTGGCATCTCAAACAACATGAAACAACAAAGAGAACGGTGGTTTCTGGGTGCTACATCTGGACCTTTTATTTTCAAAGGACAAAAAAGGAAGGCAAAACCACTTCTTTCTTGGCCACTTAATATCAATATTGTTTAGATAATCTACAAATGAATTAGCCCACAAACAGGATACACTATGTGATTTTTCAGGTCATTTTCATTAACATGGGATAATTAATACTGACCTTGAACAACAGATCTTTCTTAAAGGGTCTGGTTTAGACCTGAAACAAGAGAGGACCTAAGAACAAGATGAACTAGTAACTCAATGGGACCATCACAGAGTCTTTGGGGAGTCGAGAAGAATGTGGTACTTTGTGAAGGTTTTCCTTCATTTCCCATATCTGTATGTGGAGAAAAAAAATGTAAAACAAATTTTTTTTTATTCTTTGTGAAAAACTGAAGAGAAATAGGAAGATATATATGTATATATATGTATGTATTTATACACACACACACATATATATACACACACATATATATATATACACACACACATATGCTTGCATTTTTTACAAAGAAACAGTGAAAGGAAAAGCTAGAAATTAATAAAAATGGTTACTTATACAGGAGATGGACGTAGAAACTAGGTGGAAGGAATAGAAGTAAATAAAACTTCTGAGTACATACTTTATATATTTTATATCATTTTGGACATGCATATGCCTCATATATTTCAAGAATTAAATTTAATCAAAAAGAAAAAGTGCCAGCCCTAGGTGAAAACAAACTAAAATGAATAAACCTACATATATAGCAAATTGATAATAAAACTATTCAGAGAGAGTAAGTATTTAAGGTAACTTATTTTAAGTATTTTAAGTTACTGACACAGCATAGTACTTTTGTCCTTTTATTTTTAGTTGACGCATAATAATTATACATATTTATGGGATGCAGTGACATTCTGATATGTATACAATGTGTAATGATCAAATCAGGTAATTAACATATCCATCACCTTAAACATTTGCCATTTCTTTGTGTTGGGAACATTCAAAATCCTCTTCTTTGGATTTTTCAAAATATACAATAAATTATCGTTAAATATATTCACCCTACGGTGCTATAAAGCACTAGAACTTATTCCTCTTATCTAGCTGTAAATTTGTATTTTTTTATTTTTAATTTTTATTTTTAGAGACAGGGTCTCACTCTGTTACCTAGGCCTGTCACCCAGGCTGGAGTACAGTGGTGCGCTCATAGCTCACTTCAGCCTCAAGCTCCTGGACTGAAGCAATCCTCCTGCCTCAGCCTTCACAAGAAGCTGGGACTACAGGTGCCTACCACCATGCCTGGCTAATATTTTAGTTTTCTGTAGCGACAAGGTCTCAGTATAACGCCCAGGCTGGTGTTGAACTCCTGGCTTCAAACAATACTCCTGCCTCAGCTTCCCAAAGTGTTGGGATTACAGACATGAACCACTATGCTGGCCTAGCTGTAATTTTGTATCCATTTACCAACCTCTCCTTATCCTTCCCTTCCCACTACCTTTCTCAGTCTCTATCAACCACAATTATCCTCTCTACTTTTATGAGCTCAACTTTTTTTAGCTCCCACATATGAGTGAGAACACAGAGCATACTACTTTGACTACAGTTCCTTAGTGGGAAATATTCTAAGATCCAAAGGAGATGCAAGGTAATCTTAAACATCATACAGTGGTTTTACAATTAGCACAAAATCATTATGTTACTGTTTTTAGGAAGTATAAATTTTCACATAAGAAAAAAAGACATATATAAAGTTTAACAAATTATAAGGTACGCATTAATAATTCTAATTCAAAAATAACATAATTTTCAAATTTGTCCACTAAAAGGAACTAGAAGCATTAACTCAATAGCACTAAGCACATCTAGGACTCAGATTTCAGTCTCTAGGGACATTTCCCATTGTTCTAGAAAGGGTAAACTTACTACTTTGCCTTGTTTGTACTAACGTCATTGGTAAAAGTTAAACATTTGTTAGATAGGACCCTAACCAAATGACAATGGATATGAAAACAGAAATACAATTAGAAAATGTTACATTCCTAGAAAAAAATCAAGAAGCTTTAGGGAAGTGACTTTCAAACTTCAATTTGCATGAAGATTACTCAGAGATTGTTTAAAATACAAATGCCTAGAACTCATACACTAGCAAGTCTGACTTATTAGGTCTGGAATGGGACCCAGGACTCCTCATTTGTAATAATCATATCAGCCAATTCCAGTGAAAGCAATCAGAAAATATACCTTGAGAAATACAGCTTTAGGGAAAAGGAAAATAATATTTTGTAGTTCAGTCATTCATATATACATTTGTTATATGAAGAAAAATTAAAAAAAAAGAAGGATTTGAAAGCAGTTGTCTCATGGGAAAAGTGTACCACAAATTAATTCACTAAAAAATGTAAATACATAACTTTAATCAAAAACAAAAACTCAAAGAGAAAACACAATAATGCCTCTGCTCCCCACAAATTTCACTACGCAAAATGAAATGTAGGTTCTTAAATTAGTAATAAAAGAACAATATATGAGAATATTAAACTTCATCATTTGTTGGAACATAGGGCATCCAAGAAAAATCCAAGCTGCCTGGCTTCTGAAGCCAAGCTTTTAGTATTTTCTGGGCTTTGCTTGGCTTTGGTAAAAAGACATTTAACGTACTAAGATAAAATGTGATGTTTGGAGGTCTGTTTCCATCTCCTCCTCCAGTTTCATGAATGCAGCTTTTTTATTTGATCAAACCATATTCCTTTTACCACTTAGCTTTTCTGAACCTCTTTCCTGAAACCACATGCTTGCAGCTATGCATGCCTGTGATGATTGATTCCAAATGTACAACTAAGGGCAGCAGGGATGGTGAATACAGCCTGGTTACATGAGCAGAGACAGAATCCACAGTTGCTTTATTTTGCTATAATATGGCATGAAGTGGGGTAATTATTTAAGCATTTTACTATTCTCTTTCTACCTCTGGAATAGCAAGGTAAAATTTATTTACTTCATAATTAATATTTATTAAGTGCTCTCCAATCAACAGATAACACTTATTAGGGTTCAAATCAACTCAATCATCTTTAACCCCTAACTGCTTCTTAAATGGTTGTTAAAGTTCTTTTCATTGTCTTCTTCAGAACAAAGGTATTATTTAGTATCCACAATCCATTTCTTTTTCTCTTTATTAAACCTTTGTTACTTTATTCAAGATGAGAAGAAATGTCAGTGTATGTTGAACTCTTAAAGTTCTACCCTGTATCAATGATCACTGCATAGACTAGAGCATACGGCGTCATGGCTCTGTAGCAGAATCACCTGGAGAGTTCTACAAACCTGTGGATTCCCAGGCTTCCTCCACCAGATCTACTCAGAATCTCTGTGGGTGGGACTTAGCTTAGGAATCATTTCTTCGAAAGTTATCCAAGTGATTCTGCTGCAGCCAATCTGAGGATCAGCATTTGGGAATCACTAGAATACCACATATCTCAATGGAATGATGACTTGGTAAACGTGACCTCTGCAAAAGCTCCTTCTGCCAGAAAGCTCTCAAAGCAACTTCTCAGTTTGATGTGGCAAATTCTTAGAGGGCCCAGTGTTGCCAGAAAGTATATAACTTTTTTTTCTTTTTTACCTCCTGCTTCAGCCTCCTGAGTAGCTGGGATTACAGGTGTCTGCCACCACCCCTGACTAATTTTTGTATTTTTAGTAGAGACGGGTTTTTGCCATGTTGGCTAGGTTAGTGTCAAATTCCTGACCTCAGGTGCTCTACTCGCCTCAGCCTCCCAAAGTGCTGGGATTACAGGTATGAGCCACTTCACCCAGTCAAAAGTATATAACTTCTTGACAATGTGCCTGCTGAAAAAACTTCCTCACCTACCTTTCAGATTTAAAGAATGGTGCAATAAAATATGAAAAAGTTTATGATGGGGAGTTGGGAGAAAGTTGAACCTTCCTAGAATAGAAGCAGCATCGGGCCCATTATATTGTCACGCCTATGCAGAATCAGAAAGACTCTGTCCTGCCCTACTTGGGACAATGTGTTTTTGTTTAACAGCTAATTTTTGACAGAACCCATAAAAATCAGTATACAGCTACATGTTATTCATCAGCTTAGAGGAGTGTTTTCCATCATGGGTACATATGCCACTAGATAGATACGGGATGATTTTAGGAAACTTTTAGTCTAATCTTTAGGAAATCATACTAACATATATCAGAAAAAAATAGACAATTAGCATATCAAACCTATGATTTCATAGATGTTACTCCTTAGAAGGAGAGGGTAGTAGGTATTTAAGATTTTAAAAGGGAATTAATTTCAAGAAAAAAGATAGTGGTACTCAGATACAACTAATATTTATCCTTTCCATGAATATTTTTGAGTACCTATAATTCACGTCATTTGGGTAAAGAATCGAGACAAATCGCTCTCATCATCAACCTTACACTCTAGTAAAGTTGAAACATGAGTGTGGGAAACACTTTTCCTATGAGTATGAACATACTAACATCAGTGAAAATCACTCATTTCCATATAACATTCAGAAGGTTCAAGAAATGGCCAGGCATGGTGGCTCACGCCTGTAATCCCAACACTTTGGGAGGCAAGGCATGGATCACTTGAGGCCAAGAGTTTGAGACCAGCTTGAGCAACAGAGCAAGACCCTGACTACATAAAATAAAAATAAAAAATTTAGCCAGGCATGGTGCTGTGTACCTGTAATCCTAGCTACTCAGGAGGCTGATGCGGGAAGATCCCTTGAGCCCAGGACTTTGAGGCTGCAGTTAGCTATGACTGTATCACTGCACTCCAGCCTGGGTGACACAGCAAGACTCTGTGACAAAAAATGAAAATTAATAAGAAAGTTCAGAAAAAATATAATCTATTGAAAATATAAAGTTTTCCAGTTTCTGTTCCAGCATGTAAGGAGCTTAGAAGTCATTACCCTCATTTTCACAAGGAAAAAAAGCTGAGCAAACTAAAAATCAATGACTTTTCTTGAACCTATCAGAGAACAGAGTCACAGGGCAAACTGCCACCCCAAAATCTGGAAAAACAGGTGAACATAGAGAATAATAGCTAAGATCAGTTTATCTGGAGCAGAAGCTACTGGATGCTATAAATTGGTGGAAGACTTGGGTAATGGCTTTGATGCTTTGCTGGAGGCTGACTGTGGACTAACATAAGCATGAGAGACATCTGGGGATTCCAGTCTTAGGGGGCGTTCCCATACTTTTGAGAGTTTTGCCTCCGGGAACTTTACCATGTTCTCATGGTGAAGATTTCCCTGGTCCCCCGAGTCCTTGGCTCTAGAGGGAAAGAGGAAAAGTAACCAATATGAATTACATGAAATACACCTGGAACATTCCCCAGAACAAACGGCTACTCTCCACAGGGAAGGACTTCACCAGAACTTTATCCTACCTAACAGAAGAGCATTTCCCCAACTACAGACTCCTCTAGCCTTCTAGTCTCAGCAAAGGGAGTGAGGGGGATAGTTCAGAAACACTGTGAAGGTCACAGCAGAGGGATGAGCCTACTTAAAAGACTGAGATTTAATCATTAAATTATAGAACACTTGCTCTTCCTCCATACCTTACCAGCACATGAACAGGGCTCTAGGGCTCTAGTATAATATTCACGGGTTACAGCTGAAAGGGCTGCAAGGTGTAGACTCTAAGAAGAAGGTCTTAGGTTTTCACAAACTCAACAAGGAAAATTAAAACAAGAACATTAGAAGTACCTGAAACTTCTGGCACCTACAGCTAAAGCAATCATTAAAACTGCACAACTAGCCAGATTAACATCAAACCAAACATTTCAAGACCTATATACCTTTGCTCCTATTATCTGATATATCATGTCCAGCTTGGAACAAAAAATTAGAAGTCATGTTAAAAGGCAAGAAAAAAAACAGTCTGAAGAGACAAAGCAAGCATCAAAAGCAGACTCCAACATGACATAGATTTTGGAACTATCAGGGAATTTATGATTACTAGGTTAGAGGCTTTAGTGGAAAAAGTAGACAACATCCAAGAGCTGATGAATAATGTAAGCAGAGAGAGAAAAATTCTAAGAAAGAATCAAAAGGAAAAGTTAGCAGTCAAAAACACTGTTAACAGAAATGAAGAATGCCTTTGATAGGCTCATCAGTAGACTGGACACAACTGAGGAAAGAATCAGTGAGTTTGAAGCTATGTCCACAAAAACTTCTCAGATTAAAATGCAAGGACAAAAAAAAAAAAGAAAAAAAAACAGAACACAATACTCTACTAAGAACTATGGGACAATCTCCAAAGGTGTGACTTATGCATAATTAGAATAGCATAAAAACAAGCAAGAGAAAACAAAGAAGAAATATTTGAAATCATAACAGTCAAGAATTTTCCAAAGTTAATGACTAAACCACAGATCCAGGAAGCTCAGAGAACACCAAACAGAATAAATACCAAAATATCTACACCTAGGTGTATCATTCAAACTGCAGCAAACCGAAGACAAAGAGAAAATCTTGAAAGAAGCTAGAGAGAAAGGTTGGGGGGTGGGGGGCGGAGAGAGAGAGAGAGAGAAAGAGAAAGAAACACCTTACAGAGTGAGATGAAGGGTTACTTTCAGGGTTCACCACTCATCTTCCCTCTAAAGACACATATTGCCAACTATTAATATTCTCCAACAAGTTGACTTAGGAAGAACAAAAATGCAGGAAGAACAAAAACGCAGTGTTTTTCTTTTTTTTTTTTTTTTGAGATTGAGTCTCGCTCTGTCACCCAGGCTGGAGTGCAGTGGTGCGATCTCGGCTCACTGCAAGCTCTGCCTGCCGGGTTCACGCCATTCTCCTGCCTCAGCCTCTGAAGTAGCTGGGACTACAGGTGCCTGCCACCATGCCTGGCTAATTTTTTGTATTTTTAGTAGAGACGGGTTTCACCCCATTAGCCAGGATGGTCTCAATCTCCTGACCTTGTGATCCGCCCGCCTCGGCCTCCCAAAGTGCTGGGATTACAGGCAGTGTTTTTAATTTCAATGTTCAATATCAATTGTCTTAATGAGTTTAAATCAATAATAGTTTTAGATTTAAACATTGCCTTTTTACCATTTTAGTGTAAACATTAACAGTGTTGCTTCTGAAAGTTTCTGAGCCCTCTGATCCCTTTCTCAACTACTAGCTTTCCTAATTATATTCCAAGTTAAATGGGTCAGAGCCCTGAATGCTTTTTAGAACTAATTCAGTCCCATTTTACTGACACTTTAATGAAGGACTGTGTGAATTAACTCTTAATATGCCATCACATACTTTAAAAAGCACACCACATTTACTAATCACAAAAAATTACACTTTCTGAGACTTAGAGTGAATTTTGTGCCTAAATTATCTTCAAAATGGGGATAAGTTACTGTATACACGAGGAGTGGCACCCCACACAGTAGGTTTCATCAGTTGATGACTTCCATGCCACCTCCACACCAAGCCTTGGCCTCAGCTACTACAGTGGACAATTATGGTTTTGACTTACCAAAATGACACCCTGCTTTTCTGGGGGACCTGCTCTTCTATTCCAACCCACCACATGCCAATCACAATGTTCTATCACTTGCTAGACTCATGGAGAGACACGGAAAAGTTGAGGTGGGCACATCACCCAAGCTGGCCAGAGTCATTCCAAGGGTGTTCCCACTAGGAGCTGGAAAAGAAGTTCCTTTAGGCCTTTCAGACTATAGAACCCCACACTGCCTGCAATCATTTTTTAAGAAAAAGGCCTTTTTCAGGAGTAGAGAATAAAACTAACATAGAAAAAGAGAGATGGGAAAAGAAAGAAACAGATTAACAGATATGACACTGTTCGAATATATAAATCCAGGCGACCTTTAGGCTACTTCCAACCTGCTTACCTTCCAGTGGTTTGTTACCCGAGCCAGTAAATTCTTTCTACCAAAGCCATAACTAGTTAAAAGCGGGTGTCCATCACCTGCAAAAAAAGTCTTAAAGCAAATTCATAAACAACCATTTCAGATGAAAAACCTGTGATAATTTTATCAGACACATTTGAAATTTAGGTCAGTTCTGGCACCTTATAGCCAGTGTTCCATGGCCTGTCCTTTCACGGTTCTTTAGGTGATCTGTTCCAAGTGAAACATAGCCAGAAGTAGGCTCACCAAGAACCTAAGAGCCTCTTCCAAGGACAGTTCCCTTACAAGTTCTATAGAGAGACCCTAGCAATATGTTCACATGGTTCTATTTATATTTGAAAAAAAAAAAGAGAGAAATTCAACCATAACGGGTTGGAATGGTTGTAGACATTTTTGGCATTCAGACAAATGAAAAGTAGAGTTACGGAAACACTTACGTGGTTCACATCACTATTGTGTACAGTAAAGTTACTGCTGGCCTTAGCAGTGTAGAAATGACATCCAGATACATTCTTAGAGCCCACTGTGCTGACTCAATCAACAAAACAAGGTGCAGGGCCAAAGACCTCTTACCACAGGGATGCACCCCATGATGCCTCCAACTGAAGGATAGGGTAGTAGGGATAAAAGGTTTAAAATAGAAGCTAGTCTATGGAAAATTTTTCCAGTCACCAGATGTCTAAAATAATAAGCAGAGAATTCCATTATCACAGACACCTAATCAAAATTCAAAGTGCACTCCTGTCAAAAATAAAATCAATATAAATGCACTTTTTTTTATTAGAATAGCATATTTGGTGAAGTTTGAATACACTATTTTAACTATGATTTTAAAAGGCATTTCAAAAAAATTAGTGAAAAATTATGATGCCTGATTTCTATATACAGCAAAGACTACTTCTTTTGTAATTTTGGAAAAAATTCATTAAACAACTAAAATAAAATAATTCAGACAAAAAATTAATGAACTATGAAACAAAAGTGACAAAAAATGGCCACGTAACCAATTGAAATTAATGAATAAGCTCTTGGGTTGTTTAACAATCTAATTATGAAGAGAAGTTAATCATACGAGCATACCAGAAAATTTAAATTTCTGACTGACTTGTGAAATACTGACATCAATGAAGCTAATGCAAAACTGTTGGTATCCTAATGAATGAGGACAGTGATAACAAACTGTGTCATGGGGGTCATTAATTCAGAGTATTTAAGATCATTCACTGTCCCCTCAAAACTTGAAATGCCATAAAATCTTAGACTGCACTATGACAGAGGTTTTCCCAAATTTGACTAAAATCCACAAAATTTGCATTACTAATAACAGGGTGAAAAGCTGAAATAAATTTTTCTGAACTATCAATAATTGAAAATAAATTTGAAACAACCATGCTAACTGGAAAGTTTGGATCTCTATATTCTCAGTATAGACAGTGATATTTCTTTTTTTTTCTTTTTTTTCTTTTTATTATTATTATTATTATTATACTTTAAGTTTTAGGGTACATGTGCACAATGTGCAGGTTAGTTACATATGTATACATGTGCCATGCTGGTGTGCTGCACCCATTAACTCGTCATTTAGCATTAGGTATATCTCCTAATGCTATACCCCCTACCCCCACCCCACAACAGTCCCCAGAGTGTGATGTTCCCCTTCCTGTGTCCATGTGTTCTCATTGTTCAATTCCCATCTATGAGTGAGAACATGTGGTGTTTGGTTTTTTGTCCTTGCGATAGTTTACTGAGAATGATGATTTCCAATTTCATCCATGTCCCTACAAAGGACATGAACTCATCATTTTTTATGGCTGCATAGTATTCCATGATGTATATGTGCCACATTTTCTTAATCCAGTCTATCATTGTTGGACATTTGCCTTGGTTCCAAGTCTTTGCTATTGTGAATAGTGCTGCAATAAACATATGTGTGCATGTGTCTTTATAGCAGCATGATTTATAGTCCTTTGGGTATATACCCAGTAATGGGATGGCTGGGTCAAATGGTATTTCTAGTTCTAGATCCCTGAGGAATCGCCACACTGACTTCCACAATGGTTGAACTAGTTTACAGTCCCACCAACAGTGTAAAAGTGTTCTTATTTCTCCACATCCTCTCCAGCACCTGTTGTTTCCTGACTTTTTAATGATTGCCATTCTAACTGGTGTGAGATGGTATCTCATTGTGGTTTTGATTTGCATTTCTCTGATGGCCAGTGATGATGAGCATTTTTTCATGTGTTTTTTGGCTGCATAAATGTCTTCTTTTGAGAAGTGTCTGTCCATGTCCTTTGCCCACTTTTTGATGGGGCTGTTTGTTTTTTTCTTGTAAATTTGTTTGAGTTCGTTGTAGATTCTGGATATTAGCCCTTTGTCAGATGAGTAGGTTGCAAAAATTTTCTCCCATTTTGTAGGTTGCCTGTTCACTCTGATGATAGTTTCTTTTGCTGTGCAGAAGCTCTTTAGTTTAATTAGATCCCACTTGTCAATTTTGGCTTTTGTTGCCATTGCTTCTGGTGTTTTAGACATGAAGTCCTTGCCCATGCCTATGTCCAGAATGGTAATGCCTAGGTTTTCTTTTAGGATTTTTATGGTTTTAGGTCTAACGTTTAAGTCTTTAATCCATCTTGAATTAATTTTTATATAAGGTGTAAGGAAGGGATCCAGTTTCAGCTTTCTACATATGGCTAGCCAGTTTTCCCAGCACCATTTATTAAATAGGGAATCCTTTCCCCATTGCTGGTTTTTCTCAGGTTTGTCAAAGATCAGATAGTTGTAGATATGCGGCGTTATTTCTGAGGGCTCTGTTCTGTTCCATTGATCTATACGTCTGTTTTGGTACCAGTACCATGCTGTTTTGGTTACTGTAGACTTGTAGTATAGTTTGAGGTCAGGTAGCTTGATGCCTCCAGCTTTGTTCTTTTGGCTTAGGATTGACTTGGCAATGCGGGCTCTTTTTTGGTTCCATATGAACTTTAAAGTAGTTTTTTCCAATTCTGTGAAGAAAGGCATTGGTAGCTTGATGGGGATGGCATTGAATCTATAAATTACCTGGGGCAGTATGGCCATTTTCACGATATTGATTCTTCCTACCCATGAGCATGGAATGTTCTTCCATTTGTTTGTATCCTCTTTTATTTCATTGAGCAGTGGTTTGTAGTTCTCCTTGAAGAGGTCCTTCACATCCCTTGTAAGTTGGATTCCTAAGTATCTCATTCTCTTTGAAGCAATTGTAAATGGGAGTTCACTCATGATTTCACTCTCTGTCTGTTATTGGTGTATAAGAATGCTTGTGATTTTTGTACATTGATTTTGTATACTGAGACTTTGCTGAAGTTGCTTAACAACTTAAGGAGATTTTGGGCTGAGACAATGGGGTTTTCTAGATATACAATCATGTCATCTGCAAACAGGGACAATTTGACTTCCTCTTTTCCTAATTGAATACCCTTTATTTCCTTCTCCTGCCTAATTGCCCTGGCCAGAACTTCCAACACTATGTTGAATAGGAGTGGTGAGAGAGGGCATCCCTGTCTTGTGCCAGTTTTCAAAGGGAATACTTCCAGTTTTTGCCCATTCAGTATGATATTGGCTGTGGGTTTGTCATAGACAGCTCTTATTATTTTGAGATACGTCCCATCAATACCTAATTTATTGAGAGTTTTTAGCATGAAGGGCTGTTGAATTTTGTCAAAGGCCTTTTCTGCATCTATTGAGATAATCATGTGGTTTTTGTCTTTGGTTCTGTTTATATGCTGGATTACATTTATTGATTTGCATACATTGAACCAGCCTTGCATCCCAGGGATGAAGCCCACTTGATCATGGTGGATAAGCTTTTTGATGTGTTGCTGGATTCGGTTTGCCAGTATTTTACTGAGGATTTTTGCATCAATGTTCATCAAGGATATTGGTCTACAATTCTCTTTTTTGGTTGTGTCTCTGCCCAGCTTTGGTATCAGGATGATGCTGGCCTCATAAAATGAGTTAGGGAGGATTCCCTCTTTTTCTGTTGATTGGAATAGTTTCAGAAGGAATGGTACCAGTTCCTCCTTGCACCTCTGGTAGAATTCGGCTGTGAATCCATCTGGTCCTGGACACTTTTTGGTTGGTAAGCTATTGATTATTGCCACAATTTCAGATCCTGTTATTGGTCTATTCAGAGATTCAACTTCTTCCTGGTTTAGTATTGGGAGAGTGTATGTGTCGAGAAAAAAATATAAAATTATAATTACAAAGTTAAGCATGGATATATTTATAACTAATGAAAAAAGAAGTGATTAAAAGAACTAGAAAAGCAAGAGCAAACACATTCAAAAGCTAGACAGTGATATTTCAAAATGACTATTACCTTAAGAGAAATGATTAGAAAGTATGCAGCCACAGCATATAAATTATAATGAAATATTACAGTAGTGTATCAAGCAATTCATTTTTAAATGTTATATTTCTAGGTTTTTGTGGTATTTATGTTATATATGTAGGTTTTTGTGGTACTTGTCAGCTTTTAAAAATGTTATTACTTCTTTTTTCATTAGTTATAAATATCTCCATACTTAACTTTGTAATCATAATTTTATATTTTTTTCTTAAAAGTATCCCTTAAAATTAAATGATTTTCAGGCCTAATGAACCTGGATTCAACCCTGGACCTAGCCTTGTATCATATTAGTAAAATTCCAAGTTAAGCCTACATTAGTGAAATACGGTTAATGTGACAGATTTAGCATCTCTCTCTGCCCAATCCCTTCATCCACCCACCTTAAGCATCTGTGTATAATAGGTGCTCACTGGTCTCTGTGAGCTCACATCCATCTTGTCATAGGATCAAGATCTGAGCCTGTCAATATACTGATACAAACCTCCACAAGAACTGCTTGGGTATGGAAAGAACACTTTGCTGCTGCCTTAAAGCTAAAATTGTTTGAAGGTAGTAGATCCCACTGTGATGGTGATAGCACTGGGCCTGCAGCCTCCAAAATCTGCCTACTCCATAGGAACCATCTGCTTATCCAGATAGCTTCCACTACCCCTGCAATGCCCAGAATGCTCCCCACCTCCCCTGGCCCTGACATCCAGATCACAGTCTTATATTGTTTTTCAGTATGTTAAAGAGTTGCACCTGTTCCAAATCTCTTTCCTGGCAACCAGCTCAGGAAATCTCCTATCCCTATAATACACAAATTTAATGGGGAGTGAGTGGGTGAACACAGGGCACAATTATTTGTTTGTGTGTGTGTGTTTTGTTTGGAGATAGGGTCTCCCTATATTGCCCAGGTTGGCCTTGAACTCCTAGGCTTAAGCGATCCTCCCATCTCAGCCCCCCAAACAGCTGGGACTACTACAAGAATGCACCTCTATGCCCAGCACACTTAGCGTTTTATAATAATATAGCATTAAATTCTCACATTTAGTGCTGGATTATCCAAAGTCAAACTACACTGACAATTAGGGCTCTGGAAAATCAAGACCCTCTCCATCAAGAAAATGAGAGAAAAAATTATTTGGAAAAAATGTCATTTTCTTCAGAAGCATCAAAATCATTAATCTGAGAGGCAAAATACATATTGTTTAAGAGTATTTAAGATCATTCACTGTCCCCTCAAAACTTGAAATGCCATAAAATCTTAGAGTGCATTATGACAGAGGTTTTCCCAAATTTGACTAAAATCCACAAAATTTACATTACTAATAATGTGAAAAGCTGAAATAAATTTTTCAGTTTTCTGGCCTCAAACTGTCTCTTTCTGAATCTCAGTTCTAGCACATATTCCAGGGGTGGCCTTACACAATTTACTTAAGCTTTTTGTGAGTTTTGAACACATTTATATATTGGAAGTTCTTGGAACAGTGCCTGGCATGGTAAATGCTAAGTGCTTTCATCATTTAGAAAATTAGAACCTTGTGAGACTTCTTTAACTTAGTTTATAATGTAGTGTTCTATTATTTTGAGTTACATTTGGCAAAGCCACCATTCTCTCTTCAGTACTTTGGCCCTCAAAGGTAATAATCTGACCCTGGTCATATCTTGAGCCTTATTCCCCTAACTATGGTCCAAAAGATGCTAAAAGCAAATGACCAAGGAAGTTTATGAAATGCTGCATTAAGCAAGTTTCTTCATCTTAGGAGTTCTCAGAGCTTTTAACATGTGGGCATTTGTCACTGAGCTGATAGACTAACAGGTACCAAATTACAGGAAAATGGTTACAGGTCTCCACTGCCTGAAGAAGCCTCTTAGTGCAGGCAATGCAGCAGTACTCCCAAGAAAGGAAGTCAGCTTCCCAGGACTTCAAATCCCCAAGAAGGCTCCAGCTACTGACGCTTCTGCTTACATGGTTAAAGATCCATTTAGATTTTCAGGTCTTTTTAAATATCTTTCTTTTGAGATCCTCCTAACTGTTCTGCAGAGTCAGGCCTTGAGTGTACTTTTCCACCAGGTGCAAGTAACCAGTAACAAGCCAGTTCATTCCTGAGTGCTCACTTGAGACTCGGTAGAGCAAGGGCAATTTCCCTGGTTCCATATGTTCGTCTATATATGAGTCCAAGAGGCAGATATAATGCAGAGCTTTTCCCAAACTTTTCTGGCCTTAGAAACTTTTTTTAGGAACATTTAAAATCATCTCAAGAAATACCAGTTGCCATTCAACAGTGACAAGTTTTTTTAAGGTTTCTGAAAATACTCGTCTTTTGACTCAGAGTTTCCTTTTCTTAAAGAACAAGATTCCCTGCCCTCCATTTGGAGATTGAAATCTGTCTTCTCTTTGCTTCCCAAATTTGAAATAGCTAAATATTTCACAATATCTTTCTTAATTCTGACATGTAATTCTGTCTTTTGAAAAAAAATTCAGTGTGATTCTCTCAGGATACATCAAATTTGGGGGGAGAACCTAAATGTATAAAATTCACTCTATTTTCTAATAAGTTTCAGGGAATACCTGAGTTGCAGCAGCAGCAGCACCACTGAGCCTCTTGATTCCCAGTTAAAGCCCCACTTCTTATATTAAGCAATTGTAGAACCCTGAGCAAGTTATTTAACTCCTCTAAGCCTGAGTTTCCTCATTTGTAAAATAGAATTATCATGAGGTTTAAATGAGATAATGAATATAAAGTTTCTGGAACAAAGAGGGCAATTTTAAATTGACAGCTTATTTCCTGAGTTTTAGCTGTTTAACTTTCTTCCTTTTAAGTTTTTTTATTCCAGATCTCCTATGATTCCCTGCTCTCCTCAGGGGCAGCAACAACATGCCTCCTGCAGCTGTCTGCCTTTCCCAGATAAAATTTTATTAGCGTTTTCATAATTTTCCCTGCTTCAACTCTTTTTATTCTGATCCCAGTTAGTCACTGAAAAACAGAATTCATTTCACAATTTGTGTAGCTACTTTTCTGACAATAACATATACATTTCTGACAAAGAATTGCCAGTTTTTACTAAGGTTCTAACACTTCACAAATTACATCCTCTTACTTCATCTAAGCATGAAGTTTTCCTAATCCCATTCCTTTAGACTGAGGCCAGCCTTCTTAAAAATGAATTATGTCTTGGGTCAGGATCAAGGAGGAAGTGAAAACAGTCTTATAAAATGGTCACCCAATACAGTGGAGGTTAGTATCACTAACTATGATGACTCTCCTCCAAGGTGCATAAAGGAAAAGGTTCTTCTTCACCCAGATCCTTGTACTGATCTGTCCTCATTAAATTTCTGGTCTTTTTCCTCTCTGGCTTATTAAATATAATCTCCCTTTGAAATATGATTCTTTCTTTACTTTATGAATGCCCACCAACTATTATTTATTCTTTCCTTTTAAGCCATTAAACATTTTTGTCACAGAGAAAGAAATAACAGTATCTTGTTTAGTGATCAGCTGTTCTTGTGGCATCGTATTCCCTGATGCTGGTAAAGGGGAAATCACCCCTCCCTCACATTCAGCTCACATGGTTTGGGAGGGATGGATTCCACACCCAGCTCCCAGTGTGCGTGCACCCAGTCTCAGCCAAGGGCCATGCCATATTTCCTGGTTAGGATGCCACAGGAATGGGCCTGTGATTCACTCGAAGCTGGTTCCAGACAGTGAGACTCAGTGATACACTAGGACAGAGGCGGGCAGTCCTCCCTACTGAAATGATGCTTGAAGGTATCCTAGCCAGACACATTGAGCTAGAAACTAAAGATAGAGAGCAACAGAGTCCTAGAGACCAAAAACCAGAACTACGCTGGATTTCCGTCACAAGTCAATAAATTCCTTTTTCTTTTGCAAATTTGAGTTAAATTTTTGTTATTTGCAACTGAAAGATTCCCAAATGATATGCATCATATTTGACTACTTGGCAAAGTTTATAACATTAGGCTTTTGCAACAACTCTGCCAGGTCAAGCAGAACAAGAACATTTGCCATTTTAAAGTAAAAAAAAACCCTGACCTCCAGAGAGATGACACAGCATGGCCATGGTTATGTAACTAGTAAATTACAGAGCTGCAACTCAAGCCTGGGTCTTTTATATCCCTACTCAATCTTAAGTTTTACTTTCCTATAAACATGTTATAGAAACTTCCAGTATGCTTGCTCCTGCTTGTCTCACCTTGCTAGTTCTCACCTGCTAGTAACAGGAGAATTATAGGCATTATTAGGCCACCATGCCAAGGAGGAAATAACCACTATCCTAAAAACAAAGTTATGAAGTGGCAGCACACAGTGGGCCACAATCAGTTCTGACCTTAAACCTCAAAATGCCATCCTCTCATTTTGGAATAAGCACACTCCCCAGATATAAACACAGGCCTATAAAATTAGGGAGCCTTGATCCCATTCTCAAGAGACAATGATATACCAGATCTCTAAATAAGAGATAATTACTTATTCCTCAATATTAGCTTTTGAGTTTCTACTGCTTTTCATACTGTCTTGGCCAAAAGCTTATGCAGATTGAGCATTCCTAACCCTAAAATCCAAAATTCAAAACTTTTTGAATGCCAACATGATACTACAAGTGTAAAATTCCACATGAAAATGCTTAACACAAACTTTGTTCCATGCACAAAACTATCAAAATGATTGTATAAAATTACCTTCAGGTTATGTTTGTAAGGTACATATAAATGAATTTCACGTTTAGAATTGGGTGCTATTTCCAAGATATCTCATTATATATATGCAAATCTTCCAAAATCTGAAAAAATTTAAAATCCAAACACTTCTGTCCCCAAGCATTTTGGATAAGAAATATTTAACCTGTATACTATTTTCCTGCATGTGTTTCTATACCTTTTGTCTGAAAGACAGATGTACCAGAGTATGAGGTAACTTTTTGGGAGGATATCACATAAAATCTAACCAATCTCAATTCTTCTTAGCCCCAAAAGATAGAAACAATTGCATGATAATGCAATCATAGTGCCTGAGCTGGAATTTGTCTATAAAACAAAAGCAAACCATAAACAGCAAACAAAAGAAATGGACAGAAACCTTCCTCAAGGCCAAGGTGAAAACAAAGCCTAGTTCTCTCCTCTTAGTCATTCCACTTCTTTACTTCCTAGCATATAAGTTAATAAAATTGTATTCATTCCTGCTGAAAAAAATATGAATTTTCCTAAGCTTCAGTCTAAATGGAAAAATATTCATATTCTCATCATCAGTACTGGTATCCATCTCAGAGCTTCATTTGTAATGTTATTTTTGTTAAGGAATTAATGTTATATAAGCTGTAATTTATTTTGTTGAACCATAAAGTTGGTCCTGAAAAACCAAGATTTTAAAAAATTTATTATAATAAATAATGCAAAACTAGAATATTGTCTTTGTGGCTATAAAAACAGAATAAAGAAACAGAATGAAGACATTAGTAAAATAACTAGTCTTTACTTCATATTTATTTTTCAAAATGATGCACAATCCTGAATATGCATGCCTATTCCAGTTTTTTTAATCCACTAGGACAATCATAAAATAAAAAACAATGAAATACAATTTTAGCAACAATTCAAAAGAAATTCCTATTGAGACACTTATTACAGCTGTGTTTCTCATGCCATAACTAAAATACTTAGCTTCTATACTGTGATTTGCTGCTCTAATTGATGTATATTTTTATCTCTCTGTACTGT
The DNA here is from genome assembly GCF_000001405.40 of Homo sapiens. Lineage (NCBI taxonomy): Eukaryota > Metazoa > Chordata > Mammalia > Primates > Hominidae > Homo > Homo sapiens. The sequence continues at coordinate 88,000,278 of NC_000007.14, read as the reverse complement.
TGCTGTCAACACTTTACTACATGGAGAAAACAGAGACCAAAACAGTGAGGAGGAGTTTAAACATAAAACAGCAGGGGAGCTGTTTATTTTTCAAAAGAGAATATTTTATATAGAAGGAATAACAAACTAGATATCTAAAGAATAATGAGAGATTACTTAACACTGAATGTAGACATATTCCACTATTGGAAAATATATTATTTCCAGCATTTAATAATGAATGTCATATTGGTAAACTCTGTCATTTTGAGAGATGGAATTTTATGGCAAATAATTTTTTTTTTTTTTTTTAGAGATGTGCTCTCACTATATTGCCCAGGCTGGAGCACAATGTCTAATTCACAGGTGCAATTATGGAACACTACAGCCTGGAGCTCCTGGTCTCAAGTCTCCTTCGACCTCAGCCTCTCAAATAGCTGGAACTACAAGTATGTGCCACTGCACCAAGCTGGCAAATAATTTTTAATAAAGAATTTATCCAAGGATAAAATATTCAATTGAGAATCTAATCTTAAGGTTTAAATAATTTTTTAAAAGATCCTGAAATAATGGAAAATTTTAATCCCGTATAACTGATATCATAAATCCAAATCAATTCTGATAACAGAATAAGCATCGTAAGTTTCCCCTCTAAGTTTTAAAATGTTGTAAATATTTCAAAAGGTACTTGTAAATCTGTAATTATGTATTAAAAACAACTATCTGGGTGTTTTTAGGGTGACACAGAAGATTAGAGTTGAAATCCCAGATCTGCCACCATTCTTCGATGAATAGAGAAAGCAGATTTTTAAAGTCAGAACAAAGTTCAAATTCCAGTTCCACATGCTAACTAGCCATGTGACCCTTGGCAAATGAGTCTCCCTGATTCTTGATTCCAGCACATGTAAAATGGGGAAAATAACACCCCACATAGATCATAAGGATTAAATGACACATACACCCACACACAGCTATGTTGTGTGATTGTGTATAAGGTGAATAGTATACTGTTTCATAAATGTTATCTTCCATCTTTTTCCCTTCTTATCTGTAACATTGATACCTTTTTCTGAATCTTTAAAATAATGAGTCTGTCTCCCATATCCCTTTTAGTTCTCTAAATTTAAATCTGGAGAGCACACTAACATACTTTCTCTCAAGTAGTGGGTGCTACACATGTACCACTTCACAGTATTTTAAAATATAAAATAAATGCTTTCAAAAATATCTTTCACCAGTAACTTTTTATAATGTGTCCACAATCTCTTCAACAACCCCGGGGCCAGATGTGTTTTGGAGTTGAGAAATTGTTTAATTTTAGAAAGGTAATGATATGCACACATCATATATTACACAATGCTCCCAGCAGAATGAAGGATAACAACTTTTAATCAAACATATTAATATTTCTGTACCAAATGATGTTCATGCTAAGTGGGATAAGTAAAGACTATAAATAGTCTAATGTATTACGGTAGGCAGAATTCTCAAGATGTCCCCCAAGATTCCTATTCCCTATTCAATCAAACACTGATTTGGGTGCTGCACGAAGAGACTTTGCAGATGGAATCAGGGGTACTAACCAGCTGACTTTAAAATAGGGAGACTCTCGGCAGGGCGTGGTGGCTCACACCTGTAATCCCAGCACTTTGGGAGGCCAACGTGGGCAGATTACAAGGTCAAGAGTTCGAGACCAGCCTGGCCAACATAGTGAAACCCGGCCTCTACTAAAAACACAAAAATTAGCCAGGCATTGTGGCGTGCACCTGTAGTCGCAGCTACTCGGGAGGCTGAGGCAGGAGAATCACCTGCACCTGGGAGGCGGAGGTTGCAGTGAGCTGAGATTGTTCCACTGCACTCTACCTTGAGCAACAGAGCAAGACCCTGTCTCAAAAAAATAAATAGATAAATCGGGATATTCTCCTGCATTGTCTGAAGGGGTCTAATGTAATCCCATGAGCCCTGTGATATTGAGTGTCAACTTGATTGGATTGAAGGATGCAAAGTGTTGTTCCTGGGTGTGTCTGTAAGGGTGTTGCCAAAGGATATTAACATTTGAGTCAGTGGACCGGGAGAGGCAGACCCACCCTCAATCTGGGTGGGCACCATCTAATCAGCTGCAAGTGTGCCTAGGATAAAAGCAAGCAGTGGAACCTGAAAGGACTAGACTGGCTAAGTCTTCCGGCCTCTATCTTCCTCCTGTGCTGGATGCTTCCTGCCTTCAAACATCAAACTCCAAGTTCTTCAGCTTTTGGACCCTTGGACATACACCAGTGGTTTGCCAGGGGCTCTCAGGCCTTCAGCCATAGACTGACGGCTGCACTGTCAGCTTCCCTACTTTTGAGGTTTTGGGACTGGCACTGGCTTCCTTGCTCCTCAGCTTGCAGATGGCCTACTATGGGACTTCACCTTATGATTGTGTGAGTCAATACTCCTTAATAAACTCTCTTTCATATATACATCTATCCTATTAGTCCTGTCCCTGACTAATACAAGCCCTTAGAAGCAGAAGAGGAAGGCAGAAGACTTGGTGGGAAAGATATGGTGGAATAAGAGCAGAAGAGAGATGAGGCAAAATGGGAGGTTTGAGAGATTCAAAGCCTGTGAAGGACCTGACTGACCACTGTTGCCTTTGAAAGTGGAGGAAGGGGATCACCACCCAGGGAATGCAGGCAGCGCCTGCAACAATCCAGGGCCAACAGCCAGCAAGGGAGTGGGAGCCTCAGCTATAATCTCAAGGAACTGAATTGTGCCAACAACCTAAAAAGGCTTGGAAGTAGATTCTTCTCCAGAGCCTCTACAAAGAAGCGTAGACCAGATGACTTAGGCCTGTGAGACTCTATGCAGAGAATCCACCTGAGCTTCACTGTACCCAGACTTCTGACCCATGGAAACTATGAGATAATAAATGTGTATTGGTTTAAGCAGCTAAAGTTAACAGCAGCAATACAAAACTAATTCATGCGTATTAAGTGAGGCTTTTATTGCCAAATGAGGAGCTCCAAGTTTACAAAATGTTACTGCTTTCAGAGCTTTGGGGGTTTTTAAATTGCACTGAAGAGATTCAGAACTATTTATTTCTGTTTTTTAAATATGGTCAGTAGGTTTACCAAGTTAATAAACATGAATACGGCTTTGAAACTTTTAGTAAAACCTTATTAGATATGCTTTTAACGAACAAACAAACTCCAATAGTAATCTCACTGCCTAACTCCCTTTCAGTCCTAAAGTTTTCAGAGTTAAACAGTTCCTTCAAGACAGGTGACCTCATGGCAACCCTTTAAAGGAAAGGGCATCTGTTAGATAATAATAACTAAACACACTGAGCACCTCCACATGCCAAGCACTGTTTTGGGTGTTTCATATGCATTAACTCATTAAACCTGCCAACTACCCAATAAAACAGGCACTGTTGCCACTCCTGTTTTACAAGTGGATAAATCTAGGCAATGAGCAGTTAACTGACTTGCCCAAGATCACACAGTTAGTAAATAGTATAGAGCCAGGCACCCTGGCTACAAAGACTATGCTGCGAACCAATTTGGTAACACTGCCTCTCATGTTGATAGATACCATCTAACAAATATCTATAATTGGCACAACAAATACAAGGTATCGTGATCCCAGAATTTATGGGGTAAACCTTTTTCTATATGAACTCTTGCACTGATCACTTTGGCAGGCTGCATGTCCCAATAATATTCCCTTCAGTGTTATGAACTGAATGCTTGTCTCCCCCTCAAATTCAGATGTGGAAATCCTAACCTCCAATGTGATTATATGAGGAGCTGGGGACTTTGGGAGGTGATTAGGTCATGAGAGTAGATTAGAATTCACGCTCTTATAAGAAGAGACATGAAAAACTATCTTTCTCTCTGTCATCCAAGGGTACAGCAAGAAGGTAGCTATCTGCAAACTAGGAAGAAGGCCCTCAATAAGACAGAATCAGCCTTGATCTTGGACTCCTCAGCCTTTGGATCTGTAAGGAATACATTTCTGTTTTTAAGCTACCCAGTCCTTATGGTATTTTTGTTATGGCAGCCTGAACTAAGACATCACAAAGTACACAGTACATTAACCAGCCAACCAGCACAATCTACTGCCGGAGGTTTCCTGTTGAGCTGTCTTTCCTGCCCCCATGATTACAAACTTCTAGAAAGTTGTGCCTCCTACTGGATCTAAAATCCCAATAACCTGGTGCACGGCCGTGTCCCTATTACTGCAAAATAAACCTACAGTGACTGACTGAGTAGCTAATTAACAAATTTCCAGATCAAGAGTGCAATATCTCAGGTCACAGAAAGTTACAGAGGGCTCAGCAGGAATCTTCTTTGATGTAATTCATAATGGCCAAACATGTTTAGAACAAACAAACATCTGGTCATGGTTTTCAATGGGATTTATCCAGAAGATACTATCTTTATTAGAATATGAGTGAGAACAGTTTTTAATTATTGAAATTTAAAAACATTCCTATTCAAATATCTGTAAGGGAATGAGTGACATATCGGTGCAGGGTTGAGGTTTGGACTACATCAAGATAGTGAGAAAAAACTATAGCAGGTGAATGTCATGCAGAAAAACATTAGATCAGTGGTTCTCAAATTTGAACCAAATAACCCAGAGAGCTTCTAAAAGCACAGTTTTTTAGGTCACATCCATCAGCGATTCTGATTCAGCAGGTCTGGGTGAGAACCTTGAATGTGCATTTCTAACAAGTTTCCCACGATGATGCCGCTGGTCCCAGGGACCACTCTGGAAAACCACTGCACCATTTGGTCTATGGGAGTAGGAAGGGACCCAGGTATTAGTAGTTTTTAAAATTCCCCAGGTTATTATAATGTGTAGCCAGGATTGAAACCACTAGGCTAGGAAAACAGTTAAATGAGGAAGACATGGTGGAAACTAACTTTGCATGGCTGGGATAACCTGTCACAAAAGGTAAGATGTCCTTGGGTTTGCAGGCTAATTTATGGCCTGTGTTAGCTTTGGAAAGGGATATCAAAAGGAAAGTCCTTCTAGACACTGCCCAGCAGCAATCAACGGTGTTCATGAAAGAAAATCCTATGCCACTCCATCCAGGCACTGAGATTCCCAATATCATTTTTGCAGAGGGAAGGATAGATTAACATCTGTTATTTCTCTAAATCCTTTGGTATTCATATCCATAGCTATGTGTTACCAGTTAACGCGGTGGCTCAAGCCTGTAATCCCAGCACTTTGGGAGGCCGAGCCGAGTGGATCACGAGGTCAGGAGATCGAGACCACGGTGAAACCCCGTCTCTACTAAAAATACAAAAAAAAATTAGCCAGGCGCGGTGGCAGGCGCCTGTATTCCCAGCTACTTAGGAGGCTGAGGCAGGAGGATGGCGTGAACCCGGGAGGCGGAGCTTGCAGTGAGCGGAGATCGCGCCACTGCACTCCAGCCTGGGCGACAGAGCAAGACTCCGTCTCCAAAAAAAAAAAATACAATGCTAGAAAGCTGTTTCAAAGCCATTTCACCACATGGGCATTGAAGAAGACCTACTTGTGTGATTAACTAGGCAGTTTCTGTGATTACACACTTTAAATGCAAGGTACACAGCAAAGTGAGAACTGGAAGTTTCTGTGACCTCTATTAAGCTTTGTTGTCTGTTATAATCTGAGCTATAAGCTACAGGAGGAATCAGGGTGGGATCAGAAAAAAAAAAGAACACTTTAAAAAGAAGAGATATGAATTAGACCCACATCAAAATTAGATCCAGAAAGGGAAAAAGTAATGGAGAAAAAGGTTACTCAAGTGACAACAAGGCTATCAGATCTGCATAGTCAAAGTTTGGCTAAAGAATGACAGTAACTAGGCCGGGCGCGGTGGCTCACGCCTGTAATCCCAGCACTTTGGGAGGCCGAGGCGGGCGGATCACGAGGTCAGGAGATCGAGACCATCCTGGCTAACATGGTGAAACCCCGTGTCTACTAAAAAATATAAAAAATTAGCCGGGCGTGGTGGCGGGCGCCTGTAGTCCCAGCTACTCACGAGGCTGAGGCAGGAGAATGGCGTGAACCAGGAGGCGGAGCTTGCAGTGAGCTGAGATCACACCACTGCACTCCAGCCTGGGCGACAGAGCAAGACTCCGTCTCAAAAAAAAAAAAAAGGAATGACAGTAACTATTTTCACAATGTGAAAGAGACTTCAATTAACACAAAGCCACAATATAATTTTTGTAAAAAGAGGGTTTTTAGTGTATTCTTTATATCAGGAAATTCAGACACTTTCATGATTATTATTATTGATTATAAACAATTTTATTATTTATTAATAAGCTGATTTTGTTTTTTCTCTAAATGATTGTTGCTTGAATATGTGGAATCTCTCTGAGAAGTCATGTAAATATGAATTCATGGGCTCAAATAACTCTTTGAGTAGGGCTAGTTCTGTGTATATATTGCTTTTTCAACAGTGAAGTTTAAGAGATATCACAGTGCTCAAAATCCTGCCCTGTCCTAAAATACCACCTATTGGAGTCAATCCTTTGAGTTACCCCAAAGAGGCAAGAAGATCTCTAAAAAGTCACATACACGGACTGAGAAGGGGGATAGAACCAGCCAATTTATCTTCATGGATTGATTTATCAGAGAAGAGGTAATCAACAGAACCAAGATATCAGGGTGACCACACTGCACAGCAGAGGGAAGAAGAGAATGCACATGACAGGTAAGGTGCTGGAAGGACCTTTAGAATGGCCTGAGGCATACTGACTTTCTGACAGAAGGAAGCTATAAGTTCAGGTGGTGTCCAGAGTAAGTCAGCTGAAGAAATGAATTTCACAGTGTGCCCAGGGCTATTATTGTGCAATCTGACATTCAATACCTCTAATTGAATTATTCTTCTATTTACAGCATAAGTTACTAAAATGAAAAAAATTTAAAGCAATTTATTACAGATATCATTAGGGTTGAATAATAAGATGTATAAAGATTACCAATGAATAAAATTCAATAAAAATTCCCAGGTTTTACTGTTACATGCCTCATTATTTTTGATAAAGGGAGCACCTGTTGGATCAAGTGTAAAGGGGTGTACATTTAGTAGTTAGAGGGTTCTCTTTTCAGCAAGGCTGTGGAATGAACTCAGCAGCAGTATCACAGTAGCACTCAAGTCTATTTATTCCTCAAGGTTACCTTTACCAAAATTCTCTTTGGCAGACCCTCTAGCTATCTCTCCAATATCCACCCCATACGCCACTAGCCAATAGATTCCTTGTTTGGTCAGTGATCCTCTCTTCTCCTATATGATACGGGGAAAGGCGAACTCACCTCAGTTCTGCGGTGATCCTGACTAGTATCAACTAATCACAGAGGTACCTTTTACTTTACCAAGGTTTAAGAGGAGTTTTGACCCAGTTCTAGCCAACGAGACCTCTGAAGTTTTGGTGAAAAGGTTCCGTTTCCCTACAATGAGTCAGAGGAAGAGGTGGTCTTTTTGTCTTTTCTGGACCCAAGAATGACAAAGCAGCATGGCTAGAGTCACACTTGGGGCTGTACAACCTTTGGATTTACAGTTATACGAGATCATGAATCTCCTTTTAAGATACTTGAGTCAGACTTTTTTGTTACTTTCAGTCCAAAGCATTATCAAAATGTGCTATAGAAAAAAAATTTATGAATAAGTAAGCAATATCTTCACTTACAGTAGACCTAAAAACGAATACTACCTATGGAAATCAGGAATTATTTTGATAATCAAAACCACTAATCAAAGTAGGCTTCTTATTCAATATTTCAAAACATATCAAGTATCTATTTTCATGATTAATCAAACTTCCATACTGCTATCAAAGTTATCTTTATGAAAAACGTACTAACGTTAACATTCACTTAAAAACCTTGACAGTCCTCCATTACCAACAAAATGAAGTCCCCCTTTGTTAGTGCAGTCATTAACACCTTTGTTAGTGGAGTCACCAACACCTTCCCTAGGCCCCAACCAAACAAAGCATCTTAGCCTCCCAGCCCTCCCCAGCCCCCTGAACTTCATATAATTCTCTGGGGGCACTTTCATATCGCTATATCCTTGTTCCATCTCTTTCCTCTGCTTTAGATAACCTGCTGTAGCAAAATCTTACACAGCTTTGAAACCCACAAAAAACACCAATTTTTCTATGAAGCTTTATCAGAAGCCCTTTAACCAGGCAAGATTGTTCATTCTTTCCCTGGGTGGATACCATCTTGCACTATAGATCACCAGATAAATATTTGTTTCCTCTACATGGTCAAGAGTGGCTTGAACACAGAGAGCATTTCTCTGATCTAAGCTGAATCTGATTAAGGTTCACTTATCTCTGATCAAATGTCTTTCAGTTGTGAGAGAAAAACAGATTAAGTATTTCACTAGTGAGTTTTAAGAGTGTTTCAATCTTGGGAAGAGTAAGAACTTACCCCTTTAGAATTCTAATGTTTCTTTAAAATTCTGATTATCACCTCAAACTTACTATGGTTAACTACCATGGCATTCTAAAAATAGCTATTTCTGAGATCTTATATTTCACTCAATTTAATTAATATGTGCAAAGCAATCCTCCCAAAAGTCAAAGAATTGAAATGCTTGTCACTGATTTGTGTGTTGGTTCAATACTTGATTAAAAATAAGGCTAGTGCCGGGCGCGGTGGCTCACGCCTGTAATCCCAGCACTTTGGGAGGCCGAGGCGGGTGGATCATGAGGTCAGGAGATCGAGACCATCCTGGCTAACAAGGTGAAACCCCGTCTCTACTAAAAATACAAAAAATTAGCCGGGCGCGGTGGCGGGCGCCTGTAGTCCCAGCTACTCGGGAGGCTGAGGCAGGAGAATGGCGTGAACCCGGGAAGCAGAGCTTGCAGTGAGCCGAGATTCCGCCACTACATTCCGCATTCCGGCCTGGGCGACAGAGCGAGACTCCGTCTCAAAAAAAAAAAAAAAAAAAAAAAAATAAGGCTAGTGATAGCTGTCAGTCTTTGGCATTTTTTAATATAATAAGTTAAGATGATAATAAACAACTGAAATAGGGAAATGAAGACAAAGATTAGTCTATAAACTAGTCACCATAAAAAACTAGAAATCAATTCTAAGATATAATAAAAAGTCAATCTGATTGTCCCAGAAAGCAAAAGGCTCTCTTCCTGTCCCAGAATACAAAGAAGCACTTAAAGATTAATAGGGTCATGTCAAAAAAACACAGAAATCAAAAGGGCTTCTATAAACCAACTTTAGAAAGATTTGAATATCACAAAGAAAAATGATTGAAATTGAGTGTGAATATCACATAAATAAAAATCCACAAGTCCATTCTACATTCAATTATTTTAAAAGAGGGAGAAAGGCTGGGTGTGGTGGCTCACGTCTGCAATCCCAGCACTTTGGGAGGCCAAGGCAAATGGATCACTTGAGGTCAGGATTTTGAGACCAGCCTGACAACATGGCAAAACTCCGTCTCTACTAAAAATACAAAAAAATTAGTTGGATATGGTGGCAGGCGCCTGTAATCCCAGCTACTCGGGAGACTGAGGCATGAGAATCAATTGAACCTGGGAGGCAGAGGTTGCAGTGAGCTGAGATGGCACCACTGCCCTCCAGCCTGGGCTACAGAGCAAGACTCTATCTCAAAAAAAAAAGAAGAAAAGGGGAGAAATAAATGTACCTTTTGTTTAGGGATAGATATATAAGTGATAAAACTATAATGAAAAATCACTGAACTGATTATCACAGAAGTCAGGGTGATTGTTTCCAATAGTGGGGAGGGAAAGTGTACATTGGAGGATTGTGGGATACTGGTAATGTTCTATACCTGGGTAGAGTTATCTTAATAATTATTCTGGTTCTCCTAATAATTATTTAAAAATGTTCATGTATGTTACTTATTTGGTGTATGTTAGACTTCAATATTTTAAAAGTATTTAAAATAAATGATTTTTCATCAGTTACAATGTAAAAACATAAAATGAGCAAAGGTTAGTGTCTGTAGAAAAATGATCTACAATTATCTCCAGCAGATCGTATACTTCTGTTCAATAAAGCTCCATTGCACTCCCAGTGCCACTGGCCATACCTCTTTTATGCTCCTTTACACACTGTATCACTGTTTGCTTTTCTACTCAGACCACGTTGTCATGTCCTTGAAGATAGGGTCTTTATCTTTTTGTATCTATCACCCCAAAACCTGTATATAGAGTACATCAAGTGTACTCTATATACACTTGATGGATGGATAGATGAGTGAATGAATAAATGAGTAAATAAATCAACAAATAAGCAAGTAGTATGAAACACATTCTCTTCTGATACTTTGAAGCTTCAAGTTACTCAAGTAACTATCAGCAATAATACACTGAATTGGAATATAAATAATTCTTTTTTTTTTTCTTTGAGATGGAGTCTCACTCTGTCACCCAGGCTGGATGGAGTGCAGTGGTGTGATCTCTGCTCACTGCAAACTCCACCTCCCAGGTTCAAGCGATTCTCCTGCCTCAACCTCTTGAGTAGCTGGGATTACGGGTGTGTGCCACCACCCCTGGAAAATTCTGGTGATTTTAGCAGAGACGAGGTTTCACCATGTTGGCCAGGCAGGTCTCAAACTCCTGGCCTCAAGCGATCTGGCCGCTTTGGCCTCCCAAAGTGCTGGGATTATAGGCGTGAGCCACCATGCCCAGTCAAGAATTCACTTTTTAAACTACATATCTCTGACAACAGTGTTAATAATAGTAGCAAAGAAAAACAAATGTAATTAGTTTTCTACTAACCAGGCTATATAGCATGAGTATGAATACTATACAGGGGAGAATCACTTGAGCACAAGAGTTCAAGGCTGTAGTGCGCTATAATCATGCCTGTGAATAGCCACTGCATTCCAGCCTGAACAACATAGCAAGACCCCATCTCTAAATAAATAAATAAATAATATACAATAATATAGCCTGAAAAATTTAAATATCTAAAAAATACTAAATATGAATAAAAATAATCACTTGACAAAAATGAGTCAGGATAAAAATCAACTCTTTAAACTTTCCATCTGTTTCTATTCTATGTACCTGGAAACTTACCATAGCTTGTTTATATCTAAGAAATAATGTTTTAATTAAAGAACCCATTCATAAATGATAGCGTGATGGCATAAGGTCATTCAAATATCCTATATGTTATATTTCACCTTCAAAAACCAAACCTAAACTTTCATGTGGAAACATCTCTGATTAAGGCATAAAGCTTGACTATTTTAACTTTTGACTCTGGAAACAAAGCATACACAAACAGTAGAATTAATCATTCATTTGCTAATTCTTGCCTGGGGACATTAACAGAGAAAGCACAATAAACCAATTTTTTAGGGAAAATCTTCCATTTTTCTTCCTGCAACTACAATTTCTCTTTTAAAAGAATACAGTGAAAAAGCTACTTCTCCAGACTAAGACTAAAGGGAAGTTGCCTGTAACAGAGTTATTTTACCATGTCTACTAGAGAGGGTTAGGGATATGTGTGTTTGTGAATTTAAGAGGCCTACTCGCTACTTCTATCATTGCTAAAAAGCACACCTGAACCCCTGAGAACCAGAGAAAGTAAAAAGGGCAAAGGCAGCACAAAAAATAATCTTAAGGCCTCTACAGGCCCCATCTCTCCAATAATTTTGAATTGGATAACACTGAAGTTAAGAAGAAATAATTATCAGTAAGTCAGTAAGTCATAAGATTTTCTTAAAATAAAATACGCAAATATGACTTGCTTTAAAATATACAATTAATATGGAAATACCTTCCGATAAAACACTAACTTAATATATATCCTACTATAAGACAAGTTTCTGATTTTTTATCCCTGAGGGCCAAGTATGTGCTCTGGCAAAGGGGTGTGCTAAATGAATGAAACCCACATGTGGTTGTTACAGCACAGTCCTCACAGAGGTGCATCACAGTGCCTTTCTCTGGCAAAATCCCATAGTGTTATATTAGTACCTAGCTATAGTTCCTCCCAGGTACCATTCATATAACAGTGACCAAGATGCCATTCTGCAATAATGTGTATGACATCCTTCATAACATCAAACCATGATGCTATGCCTTGCTGCTTGTAGATTCTTATCCAGTGCTTTCCGGACCATTTCCTCAAAGAAAGTTCAAGCTAAATTTCTATACTCTACCAGTTTCCAAGAAGAGACTTCAGCTTCTCTAAAATTTTCATTTAAATAGTCACTGTTAATCTTTCTTTGTTTCTTTGCAGTATATCTGGTATTATCACTTCTGCACCATTATAGGTCAAAACTGTTTAATTTTATTATAGACAAAATAATAAAGGAGTCAACTGAGAATAAGGTAGCTACAGTCCCTGTCTGAGAATGGTTATAGTTAACACTCACAGGACAAGGGTATACAGTACAATCTGCCACACACTCATTAGCTAAGAAGATATGCCAACAGGTGAAACACAGGAAAATATACATATATTCAGAGTGTGAAGTAACAGATTGATATACAGACATACTGAGATAAATATTTCAGAGACAAAGTAATTAAGCCAGCTCTGTGCAGATGGTATCACCAGGAGTAAGCACGCACCTTATACCTCACTCTAAAACATAGTCCTTACTGTAAAACAAATATAACTATTAGAGAACAAGTTTCCAATTATTCAAATGGAATCTTTTATCTTGCAAAGATTTTGTTCATCCAATAGTTTAACAGCCATATCATAAACAAATTACATTAAATATGTCTGGGAACCCAATGTGTCAAACCTGGCAAAGTTCCCTGTGGTTGGGCTGTACCACTATCACTGCTAGATAATTTAAGAAAGTTCAATGATTTGACACCTGGGGCCAGGCGTGGTGGCTCACGCCTGTAATCCCAGCACTTTGGGAGGCAGAGGCAGGCAGATTACCTGAGGTCAGGAGTTCGAGACCAGCCTGGCCAACATGGTGAAACTCTGTCTCTATTAAAAATACAAAAATTAGCCAGGCATGGTGGCACACACCTGTAATCCCAGCTACTTGGGAGGCTGAGGCAGGAGAATTGCTTGAGCCCGGGAGACGGAGGTTGCAGTGTGCTGAGATTGTGCCACTGCACTCCAGCCTGGCCAACAGAGTGAGACTGTCCAAAAAAAATAATTAAAATAATAATAGTAATTTGACACCTGGGAGAAAAATAGCAGTGAGCTCTGATGATTTAATCTTTAACACATCTAATCACTGTAAAAATCTCAAAAGAACTTCTAGGGATTTATGCAAAAACATTTAATTACATTAAAGGTTTCATTGTTGCACATTGGAAGTGTTGACTATATCTAGCAAATTACATTTTTCACTCACCTGATAAATCTGTTGCACAAAAATATACAGCAATCATTTCAAATATAAAAATAGTATGTATGTGGTATTTTCCTTGAAAAACTAAAAAACACAAATTGTCTAAGTTATATTAAATAATTCTGCAATTATTTTATTTACAATTTAAATAACAGGCTCATAAGTATGCTAAAATCTCCAGATTCCCCTATTAAAAAAACAGGTAATACTAAAAATATCTAAAAGTCATATTAAACAATCATATGAAAGATAATGTGTCTGTGCTAAGTCTGTACTTTTTAAAAACAAACAAGAAAGCAGAAAGCTTAAATAAACCAGTAACATGAAGGTGTTACAGGAGCCTGATGCTACTCTAGTAAGCTCGGATATATCCTTATAATAGAGCTAACTCAAGCCTAGCACAGTATCCTCCTCACCCATGAGTTTGGCCTTTTGAATCCTGTAAGTCTCTAGTCCCTGGGGTCCTGTTGCCTCTAGGATTCCTTCCAAATACCCCTTCAGAAACAATTTCCTAGGTCTTAGCTTTAGTACTGGTCTCTTCCTTGGATCATTCTCTAGCTCTTTGCCAGACACATCCATGGATCTTCCAGCACCTTCCAATACAGTTCCCCTTTGCTCTGGACTTTGCAGCCAAAAGCTGCCCCTCTAACAACAAGGCCACCCTGGGCTGAGCACAAGAGACTTTGTGTCTGTGAGAAGAAGTTATAACTAGCCTTCCAAAAGTCTAGTTGTGGGATTCACAACTTTACCACTTCTCAACTTAGAACAAACAAGAAAAAGTGAATTATGCTTCAGCTAAAGAACAAGAAATGTAAGGTCTATATAAAGTTCCTCAAGGTATTCTACCAATAGTAGAATCCCAACCCTTAAAAAGTTTCAAAAGTTCAACGTAGATTTCAAAGGTAGAGTTTTACTATAAATCAAAAACATAAGATCGTAGCCATGAGAAGTATGGAACTCTTTCCAGACTTGCAGGAGACATGAAACTGAAAACCTGAAGCCTTAGTAACTATTTATACTTGACATCATCCCTCCTGCAAAATAGAATTTATAGAAAAACAGCTGTTATAGCACCATTTAAAAAAATCAAAAGCCTACTTTGGAAAATAGCTTAGCATTTCTCAAAGCATGAAACTACCATATGATCCAACCATTCCACTTCTAGGTATCTATCCAAGAGAAATGAAAACATATAGGCACGCAAAGACTACACAGACAGATTGTTCATAGTAACATTATTTATAATAGCCAAACACTAGAAAAAAACCAAATGTCCACCATCGGGTGAATGGATAGTCACAATGTGATATATCAATACAATGCAATAATATTTAGTAATAAAAGGAATGAACTGACACATATAGCATGGATGAACTTCAAAAACATGTCAAGAAGCCACATACAAGAATACATAGTGTATGATTCCCTTTATAAGAAATGTCCAGAAAACACAAATTTATAAAGACAGAAAGTAGATTAGTGATTGCATTGGGCTGGGACCAGGAATGAGGTTTACATGTAAATGGCAACAAACAATCTTGTTGAAAAATGAAAAGCATTTAAAAATTGAATTTTGGTGATTGCTGCACCACTCAGTAAAGGTACTGAAAATCACTGAATTGTATACTTGAAATGGGTGACTTTTATGAAATATAAAATAAATTCTTTTTTTTTTTTTGAGATGGAGTCTCACTCTGTCGCCCAGGATGAAGTGCAGTGGTGCGATCTCGGCTCACTGCAAGCTCTGCCTCCTGGGTTCACGCCATTCTCTTGCCTCAGCCTCCCGAGTAACCGGGACTACAGGCGCCTGCCACCATGCCTGGATAATTTTTTGTATTTTTAGTAGAGACGGGGTTTCACCATGTTAGCCAGGATAGTCTCAATCTCCTGACCTTGTGATCCGCCCGCCTCAGCCTCCCAAAGTGCTGGGATTACACGCGTGAGCCACCGCACCTAGCCAATAAAATTCTTTAAAAAAAAAAAAAAAGACTTTCATTGTATGCAACAAATATGTTCCTAAGCTAGGTGTGGTAGCTCATGTCTGTAATCTCAACATTTTGGGAGACTGAGGCAGGCGATCACTTGAGCTCGAAACCAGCCTGTGCAACATGGTGAAACCCTGTTTCCACTAAAAACACAAAAATTAGCTGGGCGTGGTGGTGCAGACCTGTAGTCCCAGCTACTCAGGAGGCTGAGATGGGAGGATTGCTTGAGCCCAGGGGGTTGAGGCTGTAGTAAGCCGAGATCACGCCATTGCACTCCAGACTGGGCAACAGAGCAAGAACCTGTCTCAAAAATAAGTCCCTAGAAGTTTATATATTTGATAAGATAACCAAAAATAAAAATAGGATTCGGAAAGAGGATTTAAGAATAGGAACGGGGAAATTTTAGAGTTTTCTGAGAAGCACACATAGATAAATATGGATAAAGGTAAAACACCCCATGGTGTGGACAATTCCTTGCAAAACTATAATTTCTCAAAGTTGGCCTCAAAAACAAGTAGAAAACCTGAATACATCAATAGACATCAAAAAAATTATTTATCAAAGATTTCTCTCTTAAAAAGCTTCCAGGACTAGTCAGCTTTCCCATTGGTGACACCAACCCTCCACAACAAGGCCTATAGATAGGTTTGGGCTTGTGGGTTCTTCAAGAAACCACTCTGGCAGATGTTAGCGGGCATCACTAGTGAAGGGAAACTGCCCGGCAGAGCAGCTGTCTGCAGGTCACTGCAGGGGGATCTACCAGTGGCAGGAATGTAATTATAAGATTAAAAGCTAGAGACTAATCTCAGAAATAGTTAAAGGAAACACTTGGGGATAGAGTTAATTTACACCAAGAATGTCGGCAGGGGCTTGTGTCATAATAATTAAGATAAAAAATAGGAATTGTAATTCTACTTTATAGTCACAACCAGAGAAGCCAGCAACATATGGGACAAAACAATGAATTATCCAACATGACAAAGTCAAGTTTATTATCAGCATCGAGAATAATTTTATATCCCATTAATATAATAAATCATAATAACAGGTCAAATAAGAAAATCCAAACCTATCTACAGGCCTTGTTGTGGAGGGTTGGTGTCACCAATGGGAAAGCTGACTAGTCCTGGAAGCTTTAACTGACTAGAAAAACATTCAATAAAATCTAATACCTATTACTTAAAATATAAGACAAAAGATATTGCTTTAACACAATAAAGACTAGCTCTCACAAATCAATAATCAACACTCTACTTACTTAACAATGAACATTAGTTATTTTTATTACAAAAAAAAAGATAAAAATGCTATTATCACCAAATTATACAGTTCAGAAACTTCTAGAAAAAGGATTAAGGTAGGAAATGGTAATAAGTAACATTTTGAAAAGAAAAACTCTAATTATTTGCCATTCATGTTATTGTCAAACTAGAATGTTACATTCAAACCTAAGAGAAACAATAAAAAGCCATTAGCAAAAATAAGAAAGTTCAATAAGGTGCAACACAAATCAGTGCCTTTCCTGTATAACACTAATAAATAATTATAAAATATGATGGAAAAATATTACACCCACAGTAGCAACAAAAACAAATACAATTCCTAGGAAAATACTCTACATGATATGTTCAGGGCCTATAAAAACAAAAATACTGAATTTTACTGACATATAAGAGAATGCTTAACATTTTAAAAAATACACTGTGATGTTGGATGGGAAGACTCAGCACTGTAAAAATGTCTATTTTTTCCAAATTAAAATATAAGTTTAGTGACAGTACAATAAATTCCAAAGGAAGAATGACAAAATTATTCTGAATTTCTATTTTAAAAGAGGCAAAAATATCTAAGAAAATTTTGCAACAGAAAACTAATAATGGAACATATTTCCATACTAGCTATTAAAACACATTATAAAGCTACAATAAATAGTATGATGGTACTAAGCCCTAAAATCAATGAAAAGATCTTCAGAAGAGATTGTTTTCAAAAAATATTAAAATATGTAATAACTGGGCCAGGCATGGTGGCTCATACTTGTAATCCCAGCACTTTGGGAGGCCGAGGCAGGTGGATCACCTGAGGTCAGGAGTTCGAGACCAGCCTGACCAACATGGAGAAACTCCATCTCTACTAAAAATACAAAATTAGCCGGGTGTTGTGGTGCACTGTAATTCCAGCTACTCGGGAGGCTCAGGCAGGAGAATCACTTGAACCCAGGAGGCAGAGATTGTGGTGAGCCAAGATTGCACCATTGCACTCCAGCCTGGGCAACAAGAGCAAAACTGTATCTCAAAAAAAAAAATTATATATATATATATATATATATATATATGTAATAACTGAATCTGATGAATAAATGTTCATAAGCCAGTAGGGGAAGTAGTGAATAATGCAACAAATAGTGTGGGGAAAAATCAATAACCTCTGTTTAGACTTTCACCCAAAGTCTTTCTGTTGCCTACAAGGCCCTAGATATTTTGGTTCCTTCTACTTTTCCAACCGCATTTAATAACTTGGCTATCCCTGTGCCAACCTCCTTAGCCACATTTCTGTCTCTCAAGCATGCTAAGCTTGTTCCTGCCTCAGGGCCCAGACCCTTGCTGTTCCCTCTGCATGGGGGCCCCTTACTTTCAAATGTCACCTCCTTAGAGATGGCCTGTCCCGGACAACCAATTCTCGAATGTGCTATTTTCATCCTCACACCAGACACTCTCTATAAATGGCACTGTCACTCTCTGAAATTACCTTATTTAACATGTTCATTGTTTGTTTCTCTGGCTAGATGCAAATTCCCTAAGAGTAAAGTCTTTGTTTCCTTTCTTCTCAAGTCTAAGTCTTCAGGGTCTAGAGAAGCTTTTAGCATTACTAGAGGCTTAGAAAACTTGTGTATGCATGTGTGTGTGTGTGTGTGTGTGTGTGTGTGTGTGTGTGTGTATATATATATATATATATATATATGAAATAAACATAAGGATTCCAAACTACTCCAAACACAGATTTGTCTTATACACAATAACTTTGTATTAAATGTACATGGGAACAAATATTCACCATAATGAATTTAGTTGAACAGCAAGGCATTCAGTTACAGATTTATTAATAACAGTGAGATATCTATTGTTATCATTATTATCACATAACATCATCATTTAATTATAATGTTATCCTCATCATTTATTTTTATCATCATCATCAGCCACACTGTAAATATAGCATGATGAGACTCTTCCAGAGTTAACTTTCAATTCCAATTGAATTCAGATCCTGTCTTTTATCCATGGTGATTTTTACTTTCCCTACAAATTCAAGAGCCACAGTATAAAGCAAGCAAGAGGTAACTAATTGGAAATGCTTTCTCTAAATGAGAGAAGGCAAGACTGAATGTTCTCTTTTAAACAGAATTTGGGTGTTCCTTGTCTAACCCTGCTTCTGCTTCTCTCTCTCTCTCCCTCTTCCCTATCCCCACACCACCTCCCATTCTTCATGGGCAACCCCATCTGCTGACATCTGTCATGCTTCAGTTCCTAGTTGTCCTCCCACCACTTACTGTAAAACTGGGGGAAAAGAAGACTGCTATAAGGATCATACAGTGAGAAAAACCATTTCGTTGTTATTGAAATAAGAAGACAAGAAGCTGAGAATCTGTAAAATACACTCAAAATTTAGGCACTGGATCATCCAGGATCTGAGAGCTGCACAACAGAATCCCTTCCAAAAAAAGCAGGCTATAAAAGATATTTTTCCTAATTGTTATATATTTCACATCATAAACAACCAACCACAGTCCACAGACAGTGCTTGCTTCTTTGTTGGGGGACTATGTGTGGTTTTTGTCAGGTCCTCTGTTGTAAAGGATCAAAGAATTCTGCTGAAAGGAAACATTTTTCAACATCTTGCATTGTTTGGAGCAGTTTAATTATCCACTTCTTCAAGAACAGGAGATGTACAAGAAAAAAAAATTGGACTGAATTGCTCAGATAATAGAGTTACATGTCTTTATTGAGCTTTCTTCTTTCCGAAGAATGTTTCACAATAAAATATAAGACTCATTGCTGACCTCTGGAAAGGTCCAATGCAGCCTAGGACTAGTGTGGCCAGACCAGGCCATATGTTTCATTTTGTTAATACATCTGTCCTAAAGAGTGAAATTTCACAACTACGACCCCATGAAGAAAAACTGCTCCCCACCCTTTTCTTGATAATTTTGACAAAAAAGAAACTGGCTGTGCTTTTCATTTTTAACCTTTCCATATTTTTATCAGCCTCCTGTGGAAGTTACTACTCAAAGGTTAAACTCTACTTATAGATATAATCTACTTATAGATAATTTTATTTACTGAACATTAAGAAGAAACATTATGTAATGATACTTTTCCATCCATTCCAATCAAAAAATATGTATTATTGGATCCATTCTGCAACCAGAAGCTAGCTACATGGACTTATTTAATTTTCCTCCAGTTAAAAAAATTTTCTATATGTTCCACAGCCCCAGAATTGCTTCATAAGAAAAAAAAAGTTTAAAGAACTTATTGTTCTTCACGTTCCTGCTCCTTAACCAACTTAAGACAATACACAAACTGAAACCACGAAAAACAAAATTCTACATTAAAAATAAGATAAACATTTTTGTATCACATCATGATTTTTATAGTATAAAGATAACAGCCACCTGCCACCTATGTTTAACATCGATCCCAGGCAAAAAAAAAAAAGAGCACAGTGCATGTTTCTCAGCCCAGGCTACCTCCATTTATGCTCTTATTTAATCTTTTATATGTCTTGTAGTTGCAAATTTGCATTGAAATAGAAAGAAAAATGCCCAATAGAGGTTTCTGCCAATATCTCAGAAGAAATTATGCTTCAACCCCAGTATTCTAAACTTCACGCTTTGATAAGTATGACCATATGTGTGTCTCCTTCAGGAAAAGAAAGTCTTTGGACTCGGATGTCTCCAAAGTAAGTGAGGCAGTTTGGCCAGAATGGACATGAATAAACATCCCTTCTTTGTTTGAGTATTAAAAGTCAAGGAATTACAGATGTCAGGAAGCAGAAAACACAGATTACCAACAGGGGCAATGATTTCAAAGAGGGATGGAAGGGAGTTATTAAAATAGAGACCTAAGAACCTGACTTTCCAAATCACACCTAGTATCTACATGCAGCTTTCAGAAGCTAGTCTCAAACATTTATCTTCTTTTTTGCTGTTTCACTCTTCCTCTCCTAGTCATCTTACCTCTGTCTCCTGGCTAATCCTATCCTCTGGTTTCTGAGTCAATATGACTCCCAGCCTGGAGTTTAACCCCTATATTAAGGATACATCAGTGAAGCAAAGAAAATCTCTGCCCTCAAAGAGCTTACATTGCAGGGGTAGGAAAAAGACTATAGACCAAATAAATAATCAAAATATCAAATATTAGATGGCCATACATCAATAATGGTAGTCAAACTTTTTTGACCTATAAAAATGGCAATGTCATAAGAATTCACCTATATATTAAATGGTGATAAGTATTATTTTTAAAATGAAACAGAGAAGGAGACTAGGTATTAAGTAGATGAGGGAGTGAAGGCAGAGAGGGTTATTGAGCATTTAAAATGTGGCTAATGCAACTGAAGAACAGAATTTTTAATTTTATTTGAATGAATTAATGTAAATTTAAACAGCCACAAGTGGCTAATGGCTACCTATCCAGATAACATGGTCCTAAGTCTTGCCTCTTACATGCCTTTTTAAATTAACTTCCATCTAGCTGGTTCCCCATTGCAGACAACTCAGGCTCTAATTCTCACTCTTAGTCTATTTGTCTGAATTTCTGGCCTCAGACTTTCTTCCTGTTGTAGAAATGCTTCCAGAAAACTATAGCCCAATTCTGCCCAGCTCAGAAGCATAGGCCTGGCAGAACCCTGGTCTCTGCCCACTTGCCCATGATCAGAAGTAGGATAGAAACCCTTTTTTAAAAAAGTGAACAGTAACTAACCAGATTTATTAAACACTACACTTAGACCAAATGCAAGAGATTAAATCCAGCAACAAATCAAAAGCACCTTCCAAACCTAAAATTCTAGATAGACAACTATTTCTAAAATTATATTGTATTCACAGGATAATCCCAGTACCAGAAACCTCACAGAAATCCACCACCACATCAAAGCATCTAATGAACACCAGGTACTATTTAACATCACATATCATGCAGCCAGTCCTCTGAATCATTAATCAAAAAGTGCAACCTTCTCTTTCCTGCTGTTCTCAAGGAAGATACTTCAATACCCAAAGTATTATTGTCATAATTTACTGTCATTCATAGGAAACTTAAGTTATAGATATTCTTACAAAAAATATTGGGGTAACTCTTGCCTTTCATTTTACATTCTTAACTCTATTATAGGTGCTCAATTTCAAATGAATATATATTTCTTGTTATCTGCCAGACTTTATAACCTACAGTAAATAAGTATAGTTTAAAATGTAGTATTTAACCGGTATAGGAAGACAAAGTAAAATATAGTAAGAAAAAACTTTACAAGTGGAAAATAAAGTGGATTCAATGTGTATCTGACAAAAGCAAGTGCAACTCAACACTTACTGATTTAGCACGACATCGAGAATGAATGACGTTCCAAAGGCATCAACCTGGAAGCTTGCTTGGTCAACATGAGTCAACTACAATATCAAAAAGAAAAAAGGTTATTTATTACTCAGCCATACTAATCAGACAATTAGTCTTTCTTATGATTATTTCAAAACACTTACAATATCATAAGAAAATAATTCAACATGGAGAATAAGTGAAAACATATTAAAGTAAAATTTACACCTTCTTAGAAGCCAAGCATTCACCAATGTGAAGTAAATTACCACCCAATCAAAGAGGACAAGTGCCCTACTTTTCTAGTTTACCTCAAGTGGTTAAGCATTTCATTTCTAAGATGACTGCACTTCATTCATCTTATCTGATTTTAAGTGACTAGCTCCTTTAAAATAAAGTTTTGTACATTTGGAAAGAAAATAAGTAAAATATGCTCAATTCAAGAATAAAATAATATGGTGAATATGATCTATTTAGAAAGAAGATATCTAAACCTCCAAAAAATCCTTTTTCGCTTATCACAAAGATATACTTTAAAAATAGTATTTCCTTTATAATTTACCAGACATAATTTCATCAAGGTTTCCACATCTTCCTAAAAGCAAAATTAAACCTCTGCACATCTACTGCCAATATCACCTATCAAAATGTTCTTGTGTTAGAAAAAAAAAATTCACTATTTCCTATGCTATCCTAGGAACTCCCAGAGAAAACCACAAGGGACTCTAAACTAAAAAATATAGTGTTTCCCATAGCACTAATATTTGCATACTGAATAATCATGTGAATTAACTGAAAAGAAAGGAGGAAGCAAAACTGTGTGTTCCATTCGACTCACCAAATATGAACAGTAGCTATATCCAAACAGTAGGACTCCAAATTATTGGAATTTTTCGTGTTTATGTTTCTACAGTATCCAAACCTCTAAAATCAATATGTATAATCACTAAAATGAGAAACGTGACAAACATTATTTTAGAGATTAAAAGCCACATGAGCAACTGCACATAGTATGTGAGGCCAACAGTGCTGCTGCTCCCTGAGAACCAGCACATCCCAGAACGGACATCTTAGGATTCTGTGGGGCCACAGGTGACCTCAACCATCCCTGGGATTTCACACACAGTAAACTATGAGATTAGGTGAAAGGAGAGAGTCTGATTAATAATAATAAGACTTTTTGGAAAGAAAGGATAATTCTTCTGTTTTAAAGTCTATCCTCCTAAAGAAGTAGGTATGGGAGAATCTTGTACTTCTGTTGCTAACACATTCTAATCCTCATAAAACTTCAAAAATTAAGAACTACCTGGGTACCTCTCAGCCTCATGAACCATTCAACTATAACTCTTAACTCTTCTCAACTAATACCCAGCCCCAACTAAATCTGTTTTCTTTTTTTATGGTAGTTCTTGGAGCCACACCTTACCCTTCATTTCCACCTCTGCCATACATCATATCCCCCGATCTTTCTAAAGTTGGCTCCTTATCAAAACCCCAAATGTAAGCCCTAGATTTTCTACTGTATCAAAAAAAAAAAAAGAAATAAAAAACCCTTCTCCCTGGATTTCAGGATCTTCCATAATCACCTTCCCCACCCCAGGCATAATGGTACATAAGCACCTACCCATAGCCCACCTACACTCAGTTCTCTCTTCTGCTCTTTAGTTCAAAAGCTATGTTCATTCCAACATTTTCTGTGGCTTTTTCATTCATTAATTTTGCTGAGACCTTTCCTGAACTAGACACTTCCCCAAAGCTGTTTCCCAGAAACGGCCCTACTCATCCTTCAAGATTTAGATCAAGTTCCACCTATAGTCGTCTAGGACTGCCAAAACAAAATACCACAGACTGGGTGGCCTAAATAGAAATTTATTTTCTTGCAGTTCTGGAGGCTGGAAGTCCAAGGTTAAGGTGTTGGTAGATTTGGTTTCTCCTGAGGCCTGTCTCCTTGGCCTGGAAATGGCCATTTTCTCTCTGTGTCCTCACATAGCCTTTTCTTTGTAAGTGCACATGCCTGGTGTCTCTTTCTCTTCTTATAAGGACACCAGTCATATTGGATTAGGGTCCCACCCTTATGACCTCATGTAATCTTAATCACCTCTTAAAGGTCTCCCATCTCCAAACACAGTCATGTTGGGGGTTAGAGTTTCAACATTTAAATGTGGGGAGGGCATAATTCAGTGCATAGCACCCCTCTTCCATGAAGCCTTTCCAACCTCGTCTAGCCTCCTCATCTCCTCCTCACTACAGGTCAATATCACATCAAGACCTCAGTACTTGACCAGCACCAGGTACTTAGTTGATCTTCTGATTGCCTGATTCATTCGAAGGTTGTTATCAATCCCCTGGATGTATAAATGAACAACAACTGAACAGCTATAAGTTAACTGCTTATAGAAAGACACTCTTTCCATCAGAGTTGCTTTTAATGTGATGTCAATGGATAACATCACTCCCTCTACCTAAAGCTCTTTGAGTTTCCTAGAGTGCTAACAACTGTGTTTTGGGAAGAGCCTCTGCTTACCAGAAATGATGTTTCAGTTAAAATGAACCTCTCCCTCCTCCATCCTTATTGTAGGACTATTAAAGCTCTTACCTCAATTTCCTTTGAATCAGAAATATTAATGTTGCAAATTTGTGGTGAAAAACACAAGGGCCACGTGTTATTCACCTTGGTATCATGATTACAGCTTGGATTGAGGTAATGTTAAAATTCTTCTTGGCAAGGTATTTACTGTCTGCAT
This sequence comes from Homo sapiens, assembly GCF_000001405.40. Classification (NCBI taxonomy): domain Eukaryota; kingdom Metazoa; phylum Chordata; class Mammalia; order Primates; family Hominidae; genus Homo; species Homo sapiens. The sequence continues at coordinate 87,975,665 of NC_000007.14, read as the reverse complement.
TAATTATAATTCTTTTTCCTGCAGCTCCATTTTACATCTGGTATCTTATTTTATTGATCTCAGTTATGTCCCAATGAGAAACTCATGTACTTAAATTCAAAAGAAAATCCATTGACAGAATGCTTAACTACTGCTTAGTAAGAATGTTTGCATTATTGATAGTAATAGGAACAGGAGTATGTTAACATAGTTTTAATATAAGGCAAGCTTTCTTAGACTATATACAGATTGATTCATTCAATAACCTTCTTCTGAGAGCCTACCAAGTGCTGGGAGCTATTTAGATTTGGGGGACAAAGTAGTGAAGAAAACTGATCATGTTTCTGCTCCTGTGGAGTTTATCTGATAGTAGAGGAGACAGAAAATGAACAATTAAATTAAAAATAAGTTTAGAAAATAAACATAGTATTCTCAGACTTAATAAAACAGAGAAATGCTGTCGAGAATGACCAGGGAAGATGGAGGTCTAAGGGTGTCTCAGAAGGCCTCCAGAAGGAGGTAATATCCAGGTAACAACATTAATAACTAGAAGGAATCTGCGGTAGGGAAAATAATGACCCCTAAATATGCCTACACCCTAATATCCAGAACCTACGAACATGTTACCTCACATGGAAAAAGGGACTGTGCAGATATTGTTAAGGACCTTGACTTGGGGAGATTATCCTGGATTATCTGGATGGGCTCAATCTAATTACATGAGTCCTTATAAGTGGAAGGCAACAGGGTTAAAACCAGAGAAGAAGGTATGATGGTGGAAGTAGAGATCAGAGTGCTAAGAGGAAGAGGGCAGGAACCAAGGAATGCAGACAGCCTCTAGAAACTAGAAAAGGCAAGGAATGAATCTCCCTTAGGGCCTCCAAAAGGAGCAAAGCACTGCCAATACTTCATCTTATCCTTGTAAGACCTATTTCAGGCTTCTGACCTCCACAGTTGTAAGACAATAAGTTGTTGTTGTTTCAGGCAACGAAGTTTCTGCTAATGTGTTATAGAAGCACCAGGAAACTAATACAGCATCACTGACACTGTCTCTGAACATTTTGAAAAGCAGCTCCAATGAGTTCATTGCACCAGTATTCAATGTCACTTTCCTCCACAGTTTGGCTAAAACCAAGACACTTTCAGCAGCAGGGCTGAAACTCATGAGGCCTCAAGGATCAAACCCAAAACACAGGACTTCTCACCCAAACCAAACTTGCAGTGGTGGTCACTAAAATAAATGTGAGCCTGGTTTCTTCGCATTTTCTGTGGTCTTCCAATATTCAGGAACCTACCTTCCCCATGTTTCTGGCTGATAAATAGGCCAAAGAGAAGAAATATGGTGCTTCTTTTCTTTTATTTTTTTTCTTTTTTTTTTTTTTTGAGACAGAGTCTCGCTCTGTCGCCCAGGCTGGAGGGCAGTGGCACGATCTCGGCTCACTGCAAGCTCTGCCTCCCAGGTTCACACCATTCTCCTGCCTCAGCCTCCCGAGCAGCTGGGACTACAGACACCCGCCACCACGGCTGGCTAATTTTTTTGTATTTTTTTCTTTTTAGTAGAGACAAGGTTTCTCTTTTTTTTTTTTTAATTTTATTATTATTATACTTTAAGTTTTAGGGTACATGTGCACAACGTGCAGCTTTGTTACATATGTATACATGTGCCATGTTGGTGTGCTGCACCCATTAACTCGTCATTTAGCATTAGGTATATCTCCTAATGCTATCCCACCCCCTACCCCTACCCCACAACAGTCCCCGGTGTGTGATGTTCCCCTTCTTGTGTTCATGTGTTCTCATTGTTCAATTCCCACCTATGAGTGAGAATATGCGGTGTTTGGTTTTTTGTCCTCACGATAGTTTGCTGAGAATGATGGTTTCCAGCTTCATCCATGTCCCTACAAAGGACATGAGCTCATCATTTTTCATGGCTGCATAGTATTCCATGGTGTATATGTGCCACATTTTCTTAATCCAGTCTATCATTGTTGGACATTTGGGTTGGTTCCAACTCTTTGCTATTGTGAATAGTGCCACAATAAACATACGTGTGCATGTGTCTTTATAGCAGCACGATTTATAATCCTTTGGGTATATACCCAGTAATGGGATGGCTGGGTCAAATGGTATTTCTAGTTCTAGATCCCTGAGGAATCGCCACACTGACTTCCACAATGGTTGAACTAGTTTACAGTCCCACCAACAGTGTAAAAGTGTTCCTATTTCTCCACATCCTCTCCAGCACCTGTTGTTTCCTGACTTTTTAATGATCGCCATTCTAACTGGTGTGAGATGGTATCTCATTGTGGTTTTGATTTGCATTTCTCTGATGGCCAGTGATGGTGAGCACTTCTCCATGTGTTTTTTGGCTGCATAAATGTCTTCTTTTGAGAAGTGTCTGTTCATATCCTTTGCCCACTTTTTGATGGGTTTGTTTTTTTCTTGTAAATTTGTTTGAGTTCGTTGTAGATTCTGGATATTAGCCCTTTGTCAGATAAGTAGGTTGCAAAAATTTTCTCCCATTCTGTAGGTTTCTTGTTCACTCTGATGGTGGTTTCTTTTGCTGTGCAGAAGCTCTTTAGCTTAATTAGATCCGATTTGTCAATTTTGGCTTTTGTTGCCATTGCTTTGGGGGTTTGAGACATGAAGTCTGCCCGTGCCTATGTCCTGAATGGTATTGCCTAGGTTTTCTTCTAGGGAGTTTATGGTTTTAGGTTTACCATTTAAGTCTTTAATCCATCTTGAATTAATTTTTGTATAAGGTGTAAGGAAGGGATCCAGTTTCAGCTTTCTACATATGGCTAGCCAGTTTTCCCAGCACCATTTATTAAATAGGGAATCCTTTCCCCATTGCTGGTTTTTCTCAGGTTTGTCAAAGATCAGATAGTTGTAGATATGCGGTGTTATTTCTGAGGGCTCTGTTCTGTTCCATTGATCTATAGATCTATACCTCTGTTTTGGTACCAGTACCATGCTGTTTTGGTTACTGTAGCTTTGTAGGTATAGTGTGAAGTCAGGTAGCGTGATGCCTCTGGCTTTGTTCTTTTGGCTTAGGATTGACTTGGCGATGCGGGCTCTTTTTTGGTTCCATATGAACTTTAAAGTAGTTTTTCCCAATTCTGTGAAGAAAGTCATTGGTAGCTTGATGGGGATGGCATTGAATCTATAAATTACCTTGGGCAGTATGGCCATTTTCACGATATTGATTCTTCCTACCCATGAGCATGGAACGTTCTTCCATTTGTTTGTATCCTCTTTTATTTCATTGAGCAGTGGTTTGTAGTTCTCCTTGAAGAGGTCCTTCACATCCCTTGTAAGTTGGATTCCTAGGTATTTTATTCTCTTTGAAGCAATTGTGAATGGGAGTTCACTCATGATTTGGCTCTCTGTTTGTCTGTTATTGGTGTATAAGAATGCTTGTGATTTTTGTACATTGATTTTGTATCCTGAGACTTTGCTGAAGTTGCTTAACAACTTAAGGAGATTTTGGGCTGAGACAATGGGGTTTTCTAGATATACAATCATGTCGTCTGCAAACAGGGACAATTTGACTTCCTCTTTTCCTAATTGAATACCCTTTATTTCCTTCTCCTGCCTGATTGCCCTGGCCAGAACTTCCAACACTATGTTGAATAGGAGTGGTGACAGAGGGCATCCCTGAGTAGAGACAGGGTTTCACTGTGTTAGCCAGGATGGTCTCGATCTCCTGACCTCGTGATCCACCCGCCTTGGCCTCCCAAAGTGCTGGGATTACAGGCATGAGCCACCGCACCCGGCCAATATGGTTGCTTCTTAAGGTTATCTTGGAGAAGGAATAAAGTAAATGAACTACACTGAGTTGCTATATTATCAGGCTTATTATTCAACACCACTGAAGTGAGCCAGGATGGCTCTCAGAAAGTTACTCTTAGACCCTGCCTTTTTAGTTTAAGGAAAAAGGTATGTTTGAGAAGAGAGAATCAGTATAATACCAAGAATTTCCTTTGGTGGGGGACACAGGCTAAGGTACTGTCAAGGAAAAATTCCAATATTTATTAACTTTAAGTTGAAGATGAAAAAGTAGTAATACCCCTCACAGATACTGGAAAAACGTAATTTTGCAGAAATGCCATCTTTCAAATTACTACATAAGAATGAATTGTGATTTTAAAAACTATTAAACAGGTACTTCAGGTATTACAGAATAATATTGAGAGATTCCTAGAGGTCACATAATACAAGATCCTTAGTATATAACTAGGGACACTGAGGCCAGTGTGGGCAAAAGTCACTTCCAAAGTCACATATTTGGTGGTAGAGTAGGCATCTCACCTCCTGGTAGGCCTTTTTCATCATATTTCAACTCCTTGCTTTCATCCTACAGCTTGGAGGTACTTGCAGGTTTTACTGGGTTCTAATGAATAAATATTATAATAGAAGTTATTTCAGTATCATGAAAATACTCTAAAGAGCATTTTTAGAAGATATGACAAGAAAATCAAAACATAAAAAACAATCTTTAGAATTCCATTTCCATCTAAAAGTTAATAACATGACCATAGCTGACACACAGCACATGTCCTAAGGCCAATTTGATAACAACCTTACAAACTCAGAGTTATAGTTAAACATATATATATATGTCTGTCACTTAAGGAAAAGAAATTACATGGATATGGTAAAGTATGTGCTTGCAGTATGTATGTGCTTTAGAGATTGAGGCAAGCAGTGAGGCTGACATTTATAGAAGCTGTGAAACAAAAGATTCAAGGGAAAAATGCAAAAATATAAAATAACTCTCCAAATGGCAGGAACTCTTAATAAATCAGTATAATTACATAAAGATAATTCTAAATTCTAAATTCAAAAATGAATCACAGAATTTTAGGACCATAAGAACATGATACAATCCCCAGATTGGAGCCTATTTATTATTCATGGGCAATAGCTGAAATTAAAATGCGGAATTAATATAACACTCGTTTCTCATGCATTTTGCTTTGTGGCAGCCTGTCCTCTTCTCCTCATATCTTCTAGAGTCAATGAACCAGGGCCAACCTACCTATCCCAGAGATCAAACACAAAGGAACTTTTTAAGACTGCCTTACTGATAACCAATTTTTAAAGCAAAGTTAGCAGTACAACATTCATAGTAGAATCAGAACTCTGACACAAGGAGAAAGATGAGGTACTTTAGGTTTTTAATTAAGTCCAACCTGAATAACGAATTGATGTTTACCAATGGGGTGGGAATATTACCAATCAAATGGTAGTATACAATAAGATAACTGTGAAAGTAATTAATATTATTAAAAATAAGAGTTAATGCATGTAACAGTACTTTAGGTACTGCGTCCTAAACACATATTTGCCATTTGACTCTTTCAGCTCAGTTTAAAAAAACTACAAGTATAATTCTTGGAAGTCTAACATCTTCAGTTTAATAAATACATATATATATATATGGCTTGTATATATGATCCCTCTTTTCTACATCGGAAAAGGCAACTGAAAAATCACCATAGCCTTATGAGAACTTCTGGCAAAAGAGCTGCAAAGGATTGATACTATATCTCTATTTCAGATGAAGGTTTCTCATTCTAGAATTTGTTGTGGCCACATCAAGATATGGGATTAATTTTGTGAAGCAGAACTGTATTACAATGGCATCTGTTAACAGAGAGTTCTACCCAACAGGTCTACCTATATGTAAATTGGTATGATAAATGTAAGAACATTAGTGTTTTCTGTCTGTATTTCTATACTTATGACTCCATGTTACTCTCCCTTTTCCATCTCAGTAACACCCACAGTTTTCATAAGCTGATTATATATTGTATCTAATTTACACATTATCTTTAAACCAAACTGTTCTTGAAATCCAACCATCTGCATTTAGTATTACAAGAAGTAGAACAGTGCCTGGCAACAGGACATTTTAAAACAAAATGAAACAAAACAAAATAGCACAATTTTTAAAGAACAAACTTTAAAGAGCTGAGGTACATTTGAATTCTAGGTCTTCCATTTACCAGTGGAATAAACTAGAGCAGGTTGTTTCATGTTTCTGAACTGAAAGTCCTCATCTCTTAAAGAGCAAAAATAATAATACACACTTTGTAGATTTGCTGTAATAATTAAATAAGTGATAGTCCATTCGACACTTTTAGAGTGCTGATCATACCAGGCTCTGGGAAAGAAAGATGAGTTGGATACGGCTCTTGCACTCAGGAAACTCACAGTCACAAGAGGAAGGTACTAAACAAATTATTACAAAATGAGTGTAAGTCTAACAGTAGGTATATGTATAAAATACAACAGCAGTCCTTCAACTGTAGGGATACCGAGGAATGCATTGGTGCTCCTCAGATTGACAATGTAAGGGAAAGCACTCCAGGAAACAGGAACAACAAAGGCACAAAAACAGCAAACAGCTCAGCACAATCAGGAAATTACAAGGCACGCTATATGTTACTGATCTATTATGGAAGATCAAGATGGAAGTAAAGACATCAAAGAACTTCTAAACTGGTTATTCTCAATCCTGGTTCCACATTAGACTTCTTTGGTGATATGGTTAGGATTTGCATCCCCACCCAAATCACATGTAGAATTGTAATCCCCAGTGTTGGAGGAGAGGCCTGGTGCACAGTGACTACATCATGGAGGTGGACTTTCCTCCTTGCAGTTCTTGTGATAGTGAGTGAGTTCTCAGGAGCTCTGGTTGTTTAAAAGTGTGTAGCATCTCCCCCTTCTCTCTCTCTCTTCCTTCTGCTCTGACCATGTAAGACATGCCAGCTTCCCCTTCACCTTCTGCCATGATTTTAAGTTTCCTGAGGTCTCCCCAGAAGCAAAAGCCTGTACAGCCTGCAGAACCATAAGCCAACTAACCCTCTTTTCTTAAAAATTACCCAGTTTCAGGTATTTCGTTATAGCAGTGTAAGAACAGACTAATACACTTGGGAAGCTTTTCTTTTTCCCCCTTAGAGATAGGGTCATGCTCTTTTTCTCAGTCTGGAGTGCAGTTGCACAGTCACAGCTCACTGTAACCTCAAATTCCTGGGCTCAAGTGATCCTGCCACCTCAGCCCCTCTGAGTAGCTGGGACTATAAGCATGTGCCACCATACTCAGCTATTTCTATTTTTTAAATTTTTTGTAGAGACAGAATCTCACTGTGTTGCCCAGGCTGGAGTGCAGTGGCTATTCAGAGATGCGATCATAGGTCACTGCAGCCTCAAACTCCTGGGCTCAAGCAATTCTCCTACCTCAGTCTCCTGATTCGTTGGGATTACAAGCATGAGCCACCACACCCAGACTACCTTGGGAAACTTTTTAAAAAATACTAGTGCCTATGCCTCAAATTCAGCGATTCTGATACACTTGGTCTGCAGTGGATCCCAGGCATCAACATTTTTTAAAGAGCCATCAATGTCATTCTAAGGTATAGCCAACAGTTGAAAAGCAATATTCTAAACCAACCTAAGAAATGCCCTCCTTATCTTGAAAGCCATAAAAATGGATTAAAGACCTTTGTGATAATACATGTCCAATAAAAATAGCTCTCTCCCCTTGCCTTCACTATTTATGACAAAATATGTTTAACTTTCAAAACTGAATATTTACTTACTAAATTCCTGCATTATTTCTTAAAAGTAAAATGTATGTTCTTATGACAATTTACTACCTACATTTTGGTGTTGAGTTCAACCAAAATAATAAAAGTTTTAAAAGTTTTTTCTAAAAGGAGGGAATGAGTAAGAGAAAGACAAAAGGAAGAAAAAGAAATTCAGTCAGATAGTCTTTCCAGCTAAATTGAGGGCCAATATCTCTGTAAGCACCTTGGCACACTTTGTCACAAAGTAGAACCTCAATATACTTTTTTTTTTTTTTTTTTTTTTTGAGACAGAGTCTCACTCTGTCGCTCAGGCTGGAGTGCAGTGGTGCGATCTTAGCTCACTGCAACCTCTGCCTCTAGGGCTCAAGCAATTCTCCTGCCTCAGCCTCCCGAATAGCTGGGATTACAGGCACACGCCACCATACCTGGCTAATTCTTTGTATTTTTAGTAGAGACGGGTTTCACCATCTGGGAAGGCTGGTCTCGAACTCCTGACCTCATGATCTGACTGCCTCGGCCTCCCAAAGTGCTGGGATTACAGGCATGAGCCACCATGCCCAGCCTATACTGTTTTTTTAAATGAGGCATGAAAAGGAGCAAAATATTGGAATTCCCATGGTATTTTTATTCTTTTTGAGACAGGACCTTACTACATTGCCCAGGCTGGTCTCAAAGTCCTGAGCTCAAGCAATCTTTCTACTTTGGCCTCCAAGCCCATATTTTTTAAAGAGCTACTTCATGTGAGTCTAAAGTATGGCCAATTCTCATGGAATTCTTATCTACTTATACTTGCTTTCCAAGTCAAATTTCCATTCTTGCTGTTGATTTTATTTTACATGAAAAAATTTATAACTTGTATTAGTCTGTTCTCATGCTGGTATGAAGAAATACCTGAGACTGGGTAATTTATAAAGGAAAGAGGTTTAATTGACTCAGTTCACAGGGGTGGGGAGGCCTCAGGAAACTTACAGTCATGGCAGAAGGGGAAGCAAACACATCCTTCTTCACATGCCAGCAGCAAGAAGTACAGAGTGAAGTGAGGGAAAAGCCCCTTATAAAACCATCAGATCTCGTGAGAACTCACTCACTATCATGAGAATAGCATGGAGGTAACCATCCCCATCATTCAATTACCTCCCACCAGGTCCCTCCCATGACATGTTGGGATTACGGGAACTACAATTCAAGATGAGATGTGGGCGGGGACACAGCCAAACCATATCACAACTGATGTAAACAATTTCTTGCCCTTGTTTTGGGATGCATTTTCCTAGGACAGAGATTACATCATGTAGATCTCACTACCCAGGAATTCCTAGATGAAGGCTACACATGCCACAAAAAAAAAAAAAAAAAAAAAAAAAAAAAAACGGCTTTCCTTGGATAAGATGAACTCTTGAGAGGCATTCCCCGAATTTACCTTGCTACATTTCCAGTTCTGAAGGCACTAAAAGCCCGGAACTCTTGTGATTCCCTGGCTGCCAAGGTGGTCCCTGCTCCAACAAACCAGAGGCAAAGACAAAAAGACAGACTATGCTGACACTGGCACCAGCTCCTATTTTCTCATCTCCATTCAGGAAGTCAGGCAGCCTCATTACCTATTTATGCTTCAGCTATCTTCTGATAAATCAGTCTCTCCATCATCTTGGCCATTAACTGCCCATTACTAGGCCTTCAATTTAAGGCCTGAACAAGAAAATGCTTACTCACATAATCCTGAAAGTCAAAGCAGACCTTTAAGATATTTAGTAGTCTGAGAACAACACAATATAGTATAGTTGTATCGAGCTATAATTAAATCTGAGTGCAAGGAACCCTAACATTTAGATGCAACAAAATCAGCAGACAAAAATCCCTCCGACAAATCAGCCCTGGGAAATGGATACTCTTTTCTGGTACAGAAAAGGCCGGGGAGAAATGAGACAAGAGCTCTTCCCAGCCCCACTATTGGCTTGATATTTCATTAGAGTAGAGTTAGGAAAACTTTCATCTTCATCTTGTTTTTCCCCATATGCAAGCTGAAAATAGTCACAATTACAGAATGCTGTGAGAAAAACACAACATTTTTGTTTATGGTGAAGAGAGTATATAAAAGCTCATTGCAGAGACTAATGTAACTATCAAAAGGTAAAAAGCAGAGAAGAGGAAAAATGAGTAAATGGCTGTCAAGCCACTACACTCTCACATGAATAACTAGTCAGTTTAGCTCTAAATCAGGTAATTTTAAAAACAGAATTAGAAATAAGAATTGTCTCTGCCAGCTGGGTCACAATCTCTCCTGGAGGCAACTTCAGGAGTAAGCCATGTCCAAATAATAAAACTAAGAATGGTGAGTTCTTCACATCAAGGTTTACTTCACCCAGTTCTGTAATATCAATGGATTTTTCTTTCCCTGATTTTATTTGCTTATATAGACATTAGATGTATCTGAGAGTAAAGGCTCACTTTTACTAAAGGGCTAGCTCCAAGTGTCTGAAGAAAGAAAAATAGGAAATAATGTTGTACAAAATCCCATAATAAATAGCTAGCACAAATAAATTCCATAGCATTTCCTTTGGGAAACAATTTCACATGGTGTATAAAGGCCTTTTCTCCTAGGACTAAGGAATGAAACTATATAATTCTAAAGGATGTTCTGCTCACACATTTACATATAATAAACTATGGAACTATGTTTCAAACTTTAAACATAGGACCATATGCCTTCTTTACTAACATATCTCACTCGTCTAAAAGTTTTCCAAGGATATAGTCAAGAAATACTCTAAGAGCAAAGTACCTGCTAAAAAAGAAGAGAAAAATAAAAGCAGTTAAGTCCCTAATGTTAAGGATATGCAAACGACAGGTTTTCACCTATGACTTGACTGTCAAACACCAGAGACTTTCTTCCTTTCTTTCTTTTAACCAAAGGCTTCCTTTATTGGGACACCAAACAAGAGAATTCTAGCGACAAGAACCACCGCAAAAATATTTCATTTTTTTTTGTTTGCCAGTGGGCTAGAATGAAGACTGGTAGGAAGAACACACTACCTATAGCTATCTTAACTACCACAGTAAAGAAAGAAGATGGGATTGTGGTGTGTGTCTGTAAGAGAAAGAAAGAGAGAAAACAGACTACCAGCCCTCTCTGAGAAAACCATGTCTTAAAACCATGTAGTCTTGCAATGCACACATAGGTTAGAAAATAGCAAGAATCTTTAACAGTGATTCAGTATGACATAAATCTGCCCCCAAATTCTTAAACTCAGAGGCTTCCACATACTACCAGCTGGTGTCTCCAAGCTGCTTTGAAGAGTAACTCCTTGCCCTTGAGTTCCAGGAAGGTTGAAAGAATCCATCCACAATTCATGTTTGAGAGAAAATACTAACATCCAAAATGAAAATTTTTGTTATAGGTACTGCATTACCTGTATCTGGTATATGGTCTTCTGGGATTCTGACTTCAAAAACATCTGAATCTAAAAAAAAATTAAATGAGTACAATTTTTCAAACACGTTCTAATAAAAAACCTAAGGGGTTGAAAAATAATCAAATTATTCTGTTAGACAAAGGTAATAAAAGAGACTCTAGAAATTAATTTTATTTATACTTCTATTATTTATTGGAGCTAGTCACTATTAGCCCCTGTGATAAAAAAAGATCAATCTTGTCACCTAATCCTTAGCATTAAACTTTCCCTAGAAAAGTGAAATGCCTTTTTAAAATACACTGACTCCAAATCATCTTTGAAAGCAGGAAATCCTAAGAGATACCATTATTAGGAGACATAGAAAAACTGCACAAATCAAGTCACATTATCCATTATACATCCAACAGTGCTTGTGTGTGCACGTGTATACATTATGGCAGGAAAAGCTTGTAGCCAACTGTAACCTGGAAGATAATTACCACTTAAAGCAAGCAAACTTTCTAGTGCTGAGCCCAGCTCAGAAGAGCTGGAAATAGGAGAAACAACTGCACTCTAAATGAGGGAGATAGGATATAGATCACCACTGAAGGGTCTTACAGACTTAAGACATAGTAACAGTGTCTAGTGATGTAAAGTCAGAATCACATGAAGACTACCCTTAGCTCTGAAATATATCTTATTACAAGAAAAAATATATATTAATATAACCTTGGTGATATCTAATTAGTTTTACAGCCTCACATCTGAATATTTAAAAGAAATAAAACCCTTACTCTCAAAACTCTTTCTTCACTGGCATGAACTCAGCTCTTAATAGAAACAATTTCATATCAAAGGCTCATTGAACTTGACCCCAACAGTATCAGAAACATAAAAGATGAATAAAATTACAAGGAGCCATCACAGGATGGTGGAGCTCTGGAGCCAGTAGCTAGAGGAGAGCCATTCATTCCTTCCCTCTGATTAGCTGCTCAGCCTTAACAAAACTGAGCATACAGGGGCTCAGATACTGTTTTCTTCATGTTCTGTGCTGTTGATGTGTTTGGATACAATGCTGAATAAATCGGACTCTGTAATTCTTGCCTCTACTGGAGACAAATCAGTGCAGTTTAATGAGGATTCTGTACATTTGACATGCTGGGTTAAAGAAAGGTTTCCTACAAGATATCTTGATTCTTTTTTACAAAGGAAAAAGGCCAGGCACAGTCATTCTTTCTATATTTTATAATAGTTTTTTTTAAACTTCTTGTTGCTCTGAGGCAAATGAATACTTTCAAAGTAACACGGAGGTCACTTTTTATTTAATTTATCAAATGATACCCTAGGAGAACTTATTCACTTCTGAAAACTGGGTGGGTTGTCGCTCCGAACTTCCCCCACTGGGTTTCTGGGAAGCTGCCTCCTGGCAAAGACTCATGACTGAAACTTTCCCTGAAGGGCCATCCTTAGCAAACTGCTTTCAGGCTGTCCTTTTTGTCCTTCCCTGGCCTTCCCTGCATGCCTCACCGTCTCCACCACCACCACCAAGTCCTGAACCCCTACTGTGTACACAGGTACCTCCAGGAGAACCAAAAGGGACTCTGAGGAAGATATGGCCCTACCAACAGATTTTTATTATCTGGAAAGACATGTTATTATCTTACAAGACAATAATATAATGCTATGCTCAATTGCTTTGTCCAAGAGTTTTCCCTCTGTTTTAAAACTGTGAGCAGTTGCTTATGAAAAGTTGCATAGGATAGTGGTTAAAACTCCAGATCTTCGAGACAAATTTCCTATGTTCAAATCCTAGCTCCACCCCTTCCTAAACTGAATGATCCTGGGCATTATTTAAGCTCTCTGTGCCTCAGTTTCACTATTTATTAACTGCGAAAAACAGTATCAACCTCTGAGGATTGCTGTGAAGACTGAATACATGTAAGATGCACAGAACGAGCTGCTGCAGTGGCTGGTGCTTGTTGTTGTAGCTACTGGGGAGGCTAAGGTGGGAGGAACACTTGAGCCCAGGAGTTTGACCCAGACTAAGCAACACAGCAAGATTCCATCTTCAAAAAAAAAAAAGTCCACAGAATGTTCTAGCTCCATAAACGTTAGGCATATTATTCTGCCACATGATTAAAAAAAAGTGTAAGCAGTGTGAACAGAATTTCGTGTTGTATTCAGGAATCAGAATTGTTCTTGCTTCCCTTGTCACTTCCAGATGACAATTCCTCTATCCCTCTCTCATTGAGGTGCATGGCTTATAGCTATACCATCTTCCACTCTCAACGCTATACCAAGTGCCTCTGTAGTCCCAATGTTTGGCACCTTGCTTAGCACAAAGAATGTGCTCACTTACAAATTTAAAATAAACCTGACAACTGTTAATCTGACAATAACATGAACAAAAGTTATTTTGCAAACTGTAATTAGCCAAAAGTGAAAAGTAGTTGTCAGGACTCACATAATAAAGGTTGCTTTCACATAGTTTAACTACTTTACTGTTTCCTTGTGAGTTCTCTAGTAATTACAAGCACTATCATTGTTTTATAGAGTGTAACTCTCAACAGTATATGCATTACACTAATTCTCCTGAAATACTTTTGACCTGTGTTCCTGTGTTAATTATATTCATCTGACATTTGTTAGTGAGTTTGGTGGTCATTTGGCTACATGACTTGCATGAGCATTATCTATAAGGCAGACAGAGAAGAATGGAACTTTGAGCTTCAGGGAACCTCGATGAGTTATATGATTCATTCCCTCACTTGTAAGGAAACAAACCTACACAAAACCATTTTGAAAAATGATTGTTGAACCTGTTTTATAAGTTCTTGAGACAGTTCCTCAACCCCCATTTATAGTCTGTTCCAATGCTGAATCATCTTACTTTTCCTTTTAAATCACTAACAAAACTCTGTCTTAATGCAATTTAGCCCTATTTCTCCCATTTGTGAAACTAGATATTAACATGTTCAAAGACAGCTTGGAAGTGTGCTGCTCATCTCTTAGGCACAGTAGAAGTATCTGCTACTTAGTAAGCTTTACGGCAGGCTAATTCTAAAAATATCTGCCAACCGCACCAGATAAAACATCCTGCAAAAGGAGTAATTCATAACCATGCTTGTACTAAACATAAAATACAACTACATTTAAGTGCATGGAAGTAATACTGTCTTGCAAAGAAGAATCCAAATGCATTACATTGTGGGATTATAGGAAGAGGAGGGGAAGAGATTACATTTAGACACCATACTGAAAATCTGTATGTTCTTCCTTGGTGGGATAATCCAATACTGTGAGACCACAGGATGAAACCAAAAATACCACAAGAAATGTAGATGATTCCAAATATTTCCTCCCAGAACAGTTTCCAAT